>NW_011332687.1:0-300000 GCF_000001405.40 Homo sapiens | reverse complement strand
TGGATCACGAGGTCAGGAGTTCGAGACCAGCCTGGCCAACACAGTGAAACCCTGTCTCTACTAAAAATACAAAAAATTAGCAGGGCATGGTGGTGGGTGCCTGTAATCCCAGCTACTCAGGAGGCTGAGGCAGGAGAATCACTTGAATCCAGGAGGCAGAGGTTACAGTGAGCTGAGATCACGCCATTGCACTCCAGTCTGGGTGATAGAGTGAGACTCCGTCTCAAAAAAACAAAAAAACAAAGGGTTTTAAAATGAGCTGAAGACTTTAATAGACATTTCTCAAAGGAAGATATACAAATGGCCAACAGGTATATGAAAAGATACTCAACATCACCCATCATCATGGAAATGCAAATCAAAACCACAATGAGATACCACCCCACCCCAGTTGGAATAGCTATTACCAAAAAGACAAAAAAAAAAAAAAAAGCCAAGTGTGGTGGCTCACACCTTTAACCCCATCACTTTGGGAGGCCAAGGCAGGAGAATCGCTTGAGCTCAGGAGTTCAAAAGCAGCCTGGACAACACAGTAGGACCTTGTCTCTACCAAAAAACAAAAAAAATTGCTGGGCATGGTGGTATATGCCTGTAGCCCCAGCTACCTGGAGGCTAAGGTAGGCGGATTGCTTGAGTCCAGGAGGTTGAGGCTGCAGTGAGCCATGATCACGCCACTGCACTCCAGCCTGGGTGACAGAGGGAGACCCTGCCTCAAAAAAAAAAAAAAAAAAGCAAAGAAAATTGTTGGCAAGGATGTGCAGATAAAGGAACTCTTTACATTGCACACTGTTGGTGACAATGTAAATTAGTACAGCCACTTTGGAAAACAGTTTGGAGGTTCCTCAAAAAATTAAGAACCAAACTACTGTATGATCCTGCAATCCCACTACTGGGTATATGTCCAGAGGAAAGAACATCAGTATATTGAAGAAATATCTGCACTCCCATGTTTACTGCAGCACTATTGACAATAGCCAAGAGATGGAATCAACTCAAGTGTCCAACAACAGATGCACAGATAGAGAAAATGTGGCATATACACACTGTGAAAGTTAATTATACAAATTGGGTCACTCTTGTCATACCCAACTAAATCAGAGTTGAGGGGCCAAGGAAGAAAAGCACTAGGGACACATAGCACCTGTTCCAAGAGTTAAATGTTCCACAAGCTCAGGTGCTAAAACAGACTGCTGTAACCCTAAGACCAGTTTTACCTAGTAGCTGCTGAAATGACCTCCCAAGACTCTAACACTGGTTTTATTTACCATCATCAGTCACCAATCAGAGCTTACCATCTCTCAAAAGCCTCTCTAGTGCCAATGAGCTTTCTTTCAAAACAATACATAACATTTCTCTTTCTAATAAAACTCCCAACTTTCTATTTGTTCTCTGGACATACGGAAGACCACCTGGTCTGTATGTATGCCCTGAATTGAAACTTCTTGCTTCCCAAATGTTTGTTTTTGAGACGGTGTCTTGCTCTGTCACCCAGGGCTGGAGTGCAGTAGTATGATCTCAGCTCACTGCAACCTCCGCCTCCCAGGTTCAAAAGATTCTCATGCCTCAGCCTCCCAAGTAGCTAGGATTATAGGCGTGCACTACCATACCCGGCTAATATTTGTATTTTCAGTAGAGATGGGATTTTGCCATGTTGGCCAGGCTGGTCTCAAACTCCTGGCCTCAAGTGATCTACCCGATTCAGCCTCCCAAAGTGCTGGGATTACAGGTGCGAGCCACCGTGCCTGGGGCCAAATAAAATGTTTTAAATTTAGAGATTCATCTCTATATTTTATTTGATTTTGGCAACTCAATGGAATACTATGCAGCCATAAAAAAGAATGAAATCCTGTTATTTGTGACAACGTGGATTGATCTGGAGGACGTCATGTTAACTGAGAAGATCCAGACAAACTAAGACAAATACCACATGATCTCACTGATATGTGGAAGCTTAAAAAAATTCATAACACAGTAACAGAGAATAAAACAGTGGTTACCATAGAGGGGGTAGAGAGGGGAGGATAGGGAGAGGCTGGCAAAGGGGTACAAAGTTTCAATTAGATAGGAAGAGTAAGTTCTGGTGTCCGATTGCACAGTAGAGTGACAATGGTTAACAGTAAGGTATTGTATATTACCAAATAGTTAGAAGAGAGGCTTTTGGATGTTCTCACCACAAATAATAAATGTATGAGATGACCAATATGCTAACTAACCTGATTTGATCATTATACAACATAGATACATCAAAACGTCAAATTGTACCCCATAAATATAAATACAGTGTGTCAATTTTTTTTAAAGTCATGATGTTATCCTGCTCATGATGTTATCCTGCTGAAAACTACTGCCCCACCTGAGGAGGTCAGATAGGAGCAGTCAGAGGTGGGGGAGGCAACAAAACAAGTATCATTCATCGTTTTTAAAATATTATTTTTTAACTGACAAAAATTGTATATATTTATGGTGTACAACATGTTTTGAAATACTTTTACATTGTGAAATGGTTAAATCAAGCTAATTAACACATGCATTTCTTCCTATATTTATCTTTTTTGTGGTGAGAAAGCCTAAAATCTCCTGTCTTAGCAATTTTCAAGAAAACATCATTATTAGCTATTGTCACCCTATGATACAATAGAGCTCTTGAACTTCCTTCTCCTCTCTAACTGAAATTGTGTATTCCTTGACATTTCTTCAGTCCCTACTCCCAGACCTTGGTAGCTACCATTCTACTGTTTCCATGAGTTCAATTTTTTTAAATTCCACATATAAGTGAGACCACATGTACACCTTTGTCTTAAAAGAGACAGTGCTGGCTACAATTCTGAGTAAGATGAAAAGTGCTGGCCAGGTGCAGTAGCTCACACCTGTAATCCCAGCACTGCGGGAGGATCGCTTGAGCTCATGAGTTCAAGACCAGTCTGGGAAACATGGCAAAACCCCATATCTATTCAAAGATAAAAGAAGAAAGAAAAATAAAAGAAAAATGCCTCAGTCAGCAAGAATCAAACCAAAATCACTTACTTTCTTGCCAAAGCTAAACTAAGCTAAATTTAAACAAGCCACCCTGTTATCTATAATGAAACAGAGATTTTTATTCTGTAATCTCTTTCCCCAGGTTGGTCACCTTTTCTTGTGCGGTGTCACATTTAAGAACTCCAGCCAGTAGGCTTCTTCTGAGGCCATCCCTAGGTGAGTTGTGATTGCTGCTTCTGTCTATGATTTCTATAAGATGCAGGACTGGGCTCACTGAATTTTCCCACAGTCATCACAAAACACTAATATCAACAGTGCCCACATTTCATTAAATGTGACAGCTCTTTCCTGCCCCCATGGCTCAGTGGAGCACTCCAAGGCTTAAAAGGAAGCATGTCCCTCCTTGCAAATGCCTAGTCTGAGATCAAAGATAGGGCTCTTGGCTTTGTGGAAATTTACGTCATTCCAGAGAAGTCGACATGACTTCCATCAATTTAAAAGATGCAGCTGATTAATTTCAGGGCATGCTGCAGCTTTTTTTTTTTATGCCAAACACTAAGCATTCAATACAGCCTGACAAACCAAACTGCACATTAAGAGCTTGTTGGAGCTAATAAATGTAGTTAATCTTGAGGGGGTGTGGGGAACGTATGACAATTTCTCCCACATTTGCTCTTTTACAAAGGGAAGTATATTTTCTTCTCTTGTCCATTATAGAGTGAGAAGGATTCCTTAAGTACCATCCCTCTCACTCTTCCAACCCTCTAAGGTTTTCTCTAATGACATATTTACAAGAAAATGCCATTGCTGTCTGAGGTTACTAAGGGACCACTCACTCCCCCTAGGAATCAGGCTCTACTTCTCTCCACCTAAATGAAACTGCTTTCTCTAAGTCTAAAGGACACTTAAGACCTTCTGGTGGCTAAATACAAGAGTTCATCCCATTAAAAAGAAAAAAATATCCACTCCACCCGCCCTCTCCACCAGCTGCCCTGTCTTTCTTTCTTCCCCTTCACAGCTTATCTTCTTAAAGGAGCTGCTGCTGCCATTCCCTCACTGCTAACCCCACCGTCTTCAACCTAGCCTCAGGGTCACTGTCCCAGTGAAACAGTTCTTACTAAGGTGTCCAGTCATAAATGGTGCTGGGTCCCATCAGGTTTGACTTCCCTCCCAAGCTGGGGGCAGAAAATACCTTTTTTTTTCTTTTTCTTTTGAGACAGAGTCTTACTCTGTCACCCAGGCTGGAGTATAGTGGCCCCATCTCGGCTCACTGCAGCTTTGGCCTTCTGGGTTCAAGTGATCCTCATGCCTCATCCACCCAAGTAGCTGTGATTACAGGTGTGTGTCACCACGCCTGGCTAATTTTTGTATTTTTAGTAGAGGCACTATTTTTTTTCATATTGCCCAGGCTGGCCTTGAATTCCTGGCTTCAAGTGATCTGCCTGCCTTGGCCTCCCAAAGTGCTGGGATTACAGGCATGAGCCACTGCACCTGGCTGAAAATACTTTTTTTTTTTTTTTTTTTTGAGACGGAGTCTCGCTGTATCGCCCAGGCTGGAGTGCAGTGGCGCAATCTCAGCTCACTGCAAGCTCTGCCTCCCAGGTTCATGCCATTCTCCTGCCTCAGCCTCCCGAGTAGCTGGGACTACAGGAGCCCGCCACCATGCCCGGCTAATTTTTTTGTATTTTTAGTAGAGACAGGGTTTCACCGTGTTAGCCAGGATGGTCTCGATCTCCTGACCTCATGATCCACCTGCCTCAGCCTCCCAAAGTGCTGGGATTACAGGCGTGAGCCACCGTGCCTGGCCTGAAAATACTCACTTTCTGAAGAGAGCTACAAATAAAGAGGTGAGATCCACCCCATTCTGGGATTACTGTGAGATGGAGAACTGACTCTGCTCCCAGCCACCATCTTTAACACCCCTACCCCTTACTCCCAAGCTGGGAAGAGGAAAGATGAAGGGACTCCTTGGAGTCATTAAGTTGTTTGCTTGTTGGGGCGCACTGTCATGTGATGGGAGAGGAAGAGATCTACTCCCAGAGGCTAGGGATGCCTGCAAAACTGACTTCTCATTCCCCAGTTGGATAAGCAATAAACCTGCTGATTTACTCTGCCCCCTACCTGAATGAGGGAAAGGAAACACAGAATACAGCACAGCAAGGTAGAGAGAAGCCTTACCCTCCCAGTTCTGCTTGCTTCACAGAACACTGGTTAAGGTGACCAGTTAGAGCATCTTCCAGCACCTGCCCAAAAGGGCCTCCTGCCAGAGCAAGGGGATACCAGTCTCAGTCACATTAGAGACACTTGACCACTGCCTCTCCTTCCTCCAGACCCAACATAGGAGGAATGGTTGGAGCCCAGAAGGAAAGAGAAGAGGGATCGCAAAGGCAGACCACTGCTCTCTCTAACTACAGGCCTGGCAAGGGATAAACACATGGAAAGCTTCAAATCAAATGTCTGTTTTTGCAAGTGACAGCATTCCCAGACATATCCAAGTAAGTGGACATGGTAGGCTTAAGTTATTTGCTGAATAAATGACTGTACAGCTTTTTCTCAACCTGCCTCACCCCCCTTGTCCTTTCTGTCTCATCTCATTCATTCCCTCCTAGCCCTAATGTTTGTTGAAGGTTGATCCTATACAAGTTTCTGAATCTAATCATTGATAGGTGACTAAGACATGATCGCTGACCTCAATAAATTTACTAGAAAAAATAAGAAGAGTACAAACTTGCATCCACTACAAGGCATTAAGGGAACAGTACAATGGGAGTTGTACAAAGCACCAAAGACATTAAATAAAAAACTCGAACTACTCCCTGAAGTATTAATACATCCAGACAGATTCTTCTGATCAGTTCAAATATGGAATGTTCATGCCTGCTTTCCCATGACTGCTGGTTCTTTGTCCCTCCTGCTAAAATGTATTTATCCTTGCTGTGTCGAAGATAGCAGTTCACACACTACTATCTGTGTCTGGATCCTGGAGAAAGCCAGGACCATCCTTATTCCTTGAGTATGGGGGAGGCCGAGGAGATTTCATTGTGCAGACTTGGATGAGCCTTGGAAAAGAGGTCAAAGAGGACAAGGTATGCATGGCCTCACTCGGAACATCACCATATCCAGTGTGGAGGAAATGTGGTTTTTGGTGGGGATAAAGGTGATGTCAATTATGTACACTTCCTCTCAAAGAGCATCTTACCAATAGGGAGATGGCCATGCATTGTACAGAAAAGAACCACCATAACACTTACCCAAAAATCACATGGAGTCTACAGACTGTTCATTATCAGGCTATTAGTCAGAATTAACTAGCATTTAGAGATGCATACCTGCAGAAAGCAAATCGCTCTACATAATTTCTGGTTTCCTTGTCATCTTTAGCTTGCAGTCTTTCGGCAACCATTTCTGCTTCCCTCAATATTTCTGACAAGCATTTTAACGATCATTATTTACCAGTATTAGAGTAATACATGCTCAATATTAATACATTTAGAAAACACAGCAAAGTTGATAGCAGACAAAATATGCATATTCTTAAAACTATGATTAATATGCTGGTCTATTTCCATTTAACCTCTGTTACATTTAACAGCTATTTGAAATTAATATGTCCCATAAGCCAACTCTGGTAAAAATCATTAATAAACTAGGATATAAACTGCCATCTGTAATCTCTTTCAATTATGAACAAGGTTGTATCTTCACAACTATAAAGCAACTGGAAGATTCCACTTAAAAAGATTAAATTCAGTGGAGGGAAAATTGGTTAAGGGGGTTGTTTAACGTCTGAATACAAGCTGGCACTCCTAATTTTTCAATTAGTTTTCCCAGCAGCCTAGTAGTTGGAATTATACTTGTCAAGATCTTAGGTAACTATCACTTCAGAAATAAGCCTCTTTAAACATTGATTTCTTTAATTGTTTAATCGTGTGATTCTGGGAAACAGAAAAAACCATAGTGTTAGCAATGTTTTCTTGACAAGTATATATATAAGTGCCATTATTTATCAAGATACTTAACAAAGATTTTCCATTTCAATCTTTCATAATAGACATGTTATTCAATGTTATCTAAAATAAAAATTATTGGCTTACCTGATTAAGAAATTATGCAGTCCAACATCAAAATACCTGTTCAAAAGAGACATAGACAAGCATATCAATAAAAGATATTTATAGTAATGGTAGACTAGACAACTATATTTATAATTTAAATTCATAGTATGACTAAATGGATTGCTCTACCACAGTAGTTCTCAAGATGTGGCTGCTGGAGCAGCAGCATTCCTGGGAACTTGTTGGAATCGCAGCTTCTCAGGCCCCACCTCAGACATACCAATTCCAAAATTCTGGGGAAGGAGCCCGGCAATTAAACTTAACAAGCTCTCCAGGAGATTCTGGTGCAGAAACACTGCTCTCTAGTAGCGTAAGTGTCTCAGCAAGTGTAAGCTCTCTCTAGAAATATAGGCCATGAGAGGAGATCTCCCAGGTACCTTCCACTTTTCCAATATATGAGTCCGTTTGTAATATTCGTGTCTCAGATGTTCACTTAAAATATATATATGTATATACACACACACACATATATATGGGTTTTTTTTTTTTTTTTTTTTGAGACAAGGTCTTCCTTTGTCACCCAGGCTGAAGTGCAGCGGTGCGATCACATTTACTGCAGCCTCAACCCCCTGGGTTAAACCAATCCTCCCACCTCAGCCCCCAGAGTAGCTGTGACTACAGGTGTGCATCACCACGCCTGGCTAATATTTAATTTTTTTAGTAGAGACATAGTCTATATTACCCAGGGTTGTCTCAAACTCATGGGCTCAAGCAATCCTCCCACCTCAGCCTCCCAAAGTGCTGGGATTACAGGTGTGAGCCACCGCACTCAGCCCGAAATATGTTTCAAAAGCCCAACACCACACTAGCCAAAGGGAAGCAGGTGAGGGGGGGTGGGGCAGGGAGAGGCTGGTGTGGCAGTGAGTGGAGGGTCAACCTTGGCCTTCCAAGCCCCACCTAGTTGTAGTCCTGGAGCTTTCCACCTGAGAGAACAACCCTGTCCCATCTCTGGGTCTGCCCTGAGCAGGGGATTTGAAGAGCTGCAACTCCATGCGCTAGCTGGGGAGCCTGACTTTGTGCTTGAGGCTCACACCAGGCATCCCATAGCGCTGGGCTATGGCAGACCCTTTAAGTCACAGCCTTTTCCTGACACCACGAAACTGGTACAGTCCATATAAACGACACTGCCTTGGTTTCTCTAACTAGCATGCTTGTTCCTCCTGAACCTCTGATCATGTAGCCAGTGCCCTTCTCTCCCTTTGGGTCGGACTGTGAGTAAGAAGACCAGGTGGCCAGTGAAGTCTCACTTAGTCAGGAGGCTGAAGCAGGAGAATGGCGTGAACCCAGGAGGCGGAGCTTTCAGTGAGCCGAGATCACACCACTGCACTCCAGCCTGGGCGACAGAGTGAGACTCCATCTCAAAAAAAAAAAAAAAAAAAAAAAAAAAGACCAGGCGGCCAGAATCATGATGATATAGTCCCCCAGGCAGAATCACTGCTCCCAACACCTAACGGGTGGTGGTTGCATCCCACCCACCAGTCTCGCCTCTTGGGTTGGCCATCTGACTGAGTAGGGCCTGAGTTAATTCTGTCCCTTTCAGACAAGAGGTAATGGACACAGGAATTCACCCTCGAGGGGGGGTCTGACGCCTGTCCAGACCCTGCCTGTCCCTAGCTTCCGGCGACACCCTTGACTCATCCCTGGAACATCCCATCATGCCTGGTACCTCGCCACCTGACATATGACAGGTGATTACTGACACTAAGATTCCCTGTGGGACACCTTTAAATGACAAGATTATTTTATGTGCTTAAGTATCTCTTTACAGACAATGGACACAGCATAGGTGAGAATAAAGAAACTCAAAGCCAAAACATGACAGACCTCATTTACTACATCACTGACCTAAAATAATTACATAATTCAGGAAAAACGGGATTCGAGATATATAAATTCCACTTATTCATAAGTCTTCTGCACAGAGCTCTTCTCTAAGGAGAGATCTACCTGTAGGGAGAGCTGATGTGTTTCATTTGATTTTACATTGACCTGGATAAGATGCTAAGTTCTTCCTAAAATTATATTTAACACAAATTTTTTAAAAATAGAAATGATCTCTTCTCTCAACCAAAACCAAGGCTACTTTGTTCAGCCCCATAAATAAATATCCACACCACAGACAGCAATTTTAAGGTTGCCAGATCTATAATATGGGAGGTAGAAGTATGTGTAGATTAAAACAAAGATTTCAGCTTCCTTCACTCATCCAAAGCTTGTAGAGCCTTTTCAATTACATTAGCGACAGAGACCAACAGACTCTATTCCGGGAATCACAGGACAAAGCAGACATGGAAGAAATCACAGAGATCCGCAGTATATAGTGGGGTCAGAGGAAGGCACTGAAACAGTAATGAAAAACCTAATAATGAGAAATTATATTTATTGTTTAGAATGTGGCAAGTACTATGTTTTGTGCTCACATATACATGCTGGTGAGGCAGGTACTGGTATGCCCAGAGCTGACAGCCAGTAGAAAAAAAGCTGGAAATCAAACTGAACCCTAAAATGCACGAATTACTTGCTCTTCCCAAGCACCCTGCTAAAAGCAGGGTTCTCACTGCCTTTCATTATTACTAATTGAAAATGATGGTTCATGTTAAAAGCTGATGTCTTCCCACTTCCACCTCATTTCTGCTTCTCCCAGCATGGCTGCCCTGCTCCAGGGAAGCCCACCTGCTTCTCCCCAGGTGCCGCCCACCTCCTCCGTCTCAGCTAGCCAGGCTCTGGAAAGTGATGGAAGTTCACGTAAGCAGAGTCATACAGTATTTGTGCTTTTGTGTCTGGATGGCTATCAGTTTTTAAAAAATAAGGTTCATCCAACTCATGCCAACACCATCATTCTCATTCAACCTAGCCATGGCCTCCGGGGGTGATGTGGTAGTCAATTCATTTCTTTCCATTTCCAGGTGCCCTTCCTCATAGAAATGGTGGCCAGCCAAACCAATTCCCTCTCCCATCTCCTCCTCTACTTGTAACATGAGACCTAGCTAAGGACACTAAGCTTTAGCACACCACCTACTGAAAATTTAAAAACTAAATATATTCAAAACCATTTCTGCATTATAAAATATAACAATCTCTGAAAGGCAAAATATGTCTTTCTTATTCAACTAATAGCCAGGAAATTATCCATTCTTACAGCCCTGAAAGATTTCCTTTGCAAAGCACATCTTAGGGCTTTGAAAATACTTCCCAATGACAATTCTGTATAGACACCCAATGCATGAAAGGATGAATGTATCTGAGAACTAATTCTAACTCCAGAGGTGGGACAAAGAGCAGGTTTTTTAAAAATCACCTGTAAATATAAGAGCCTTTGCAATGACTACAAGATATGAGTAGAATATACACAAGCTTTAATTTAATGCTGCCTCTCACTTTCCTTGGATCATGTGAGAAAGGCAGGCGAGGTTAGTGGAGAGTAAAGGGTTATAGTTTCTCACCATGCAGGCACAGTGCAGCACACACAGAGTGGAGAAGGGGGGATGTTAATAGTAAAAGCCAACACACACACACAGTGCTTAGCATGTGCCAGGCACTCATCCATTCTACACACATACAATTATTTTTGCAATAACCCTATGAGGTAGATAGATACTATTATCATCTGCACCACAGAGGAAGAAACAGAAGCATAGAGAGGTTAAGTGATTGTTAGTTAGGGGTAAAACTAACACCTGAGCCCAGACAGTCTCCATTAGCCAGAAGACCCCCCAGGGAACAGTACCTTGGTTTTGAGGAATAAATGGTAGGAATGCACCAACCTTAACTTCCTGAGTTTTGTTATTAGAGGGCTGAGTATCCCAAATCCAAAAATCTGAAATCTGAAATGCTCCAAAATCTAAAACTTTTTGAGCACCAATGAGACACTCATAAAAATGCTCATGAGAGCACCTTCAGATTTTGGATTTTTAAATTTGAGATGCTCAACTAGTATAATTGCAAATATTCCAAAATCTGTAAAGCTCGAAATCCAAAACACTGATTTCTGGTCCCCAGCATTTCAAGTAAGGGATATTCAATCTGCATATTGCAGTTATTCAGTTGGTGCAAAAGTAATTGCATGTGGTCTTTGCCATTGACAGTAATGACAAAACCCACAATTACTTTTGCACCAACCTAGTACATAGGAAAGTGTCCTTAGAAGCATACGCTGAAGTACTCAGAGTGATGATGCTTCATGTCCACAACCTAATCTCAAATAATTCAGGGGGAAAATGTTACATAGGTACTGTGCTTCTAATGTTTGTGAGTTTAAGATTATTTCAACATTTTAAAAATGAAAGATAAAAAGCACACTCCTTGCAAAAGAAAAGCAAACAAGTTCATGTTTTTTGTGTATAGAGAGAAATTAACAGTGCATCCTAAAATCAGAATCTAATTTCTATAACTCGGATTAGTTTTTCCTCATATATTTTGTTTTTGAGCTGTAAATGAGTGAACATATATAAAATGAAAATCAAGACCACATGATAAAACCAGTGATAGCTATCTTACTGGCTGGAAGAATGAAGTGGTTCATAAAGCTGCTCTTCATAAGAGCCATTATCTTAATCTTACCAACTCCACCACCAATAAGTCAGGCAACATATTTGATACGACGCTAAAGGTTTGGCTTAAAGAATGTATATGCCTTTTCATCCTGTTCCCATTAGAAAAAAATAAACCAAACATATTTAAAACTATAAACTGTTATTTAAATTTATGTGATATTTTAAAAATGTTATTTCATCATTACTTAATAATTTTATTAAGTATCATATGAGAAAGTGACTCTATCCAAAAGAAAACTGTGGTCTACCCAACCAGAGGTCTAGTTCCATGTTACCAGAATTTGCGGGCTTTTGCAGCTTCTTCAGAATCATGAGTTCATTCTTCTATTATCATTATTATTACATAGTGACAAATTATAGTTGTATGTATTTATGGGGTACGAAGTGATGCTAGGACTTTTTTTTTTTTTTTTTTTGAGAAGGAGTCTCACTCTGTCACCCAGGCTGGAGTGCAGTGGCATGATCTCGGCTCGCTGCAACCTCCACCTCCCAGGTTCAAGCAATTCTCTTGCCTCAGCCTCCCGAGCAGCTGAGATTACAGGTGCATGCCACCATACCTGGCTAATTTTTTGTATTTTTAGTAGAGATGGGGTTTCACCATGTGAGCCAGAATGGTCTTGATCTCCTGACCTCGTGATCAACTCGCCTTGGCCTCCCAAAGTGCTGAGATTACAGGCATGAGCCACCATGCCCGGCCATGCTATGATTTTTTAACATAATGTGGAATGATTAAATCAAGCTAATTAATATATCCATCACCTCAAATTTTTTGTCATTAGAATATTTGAAATTTACTCCATCAGTGATTTTGAAATGTATAGTATGGATTTCCTCTTTACCATGGTAAACCTAACTCATGTTCCTTCCAAAGAGTTCAGGGGTGGGGCCTCCCTTGTAGGGCCATCTTTAATTTCAAAACACTAGCAATGCAATGAACTCTAGAAATATATTCTCATGGCCAGGTGCGGTAGCTCACGCCTGTAATCCCAGCACTTTGGGAGGCCAAGGCAGGTAGATCACAAGGTCAAGAGTTCAAGACCAGCCCGGCCAAAATGATGAAACCCTGTTTCTACTAAAAATACAAAAATTAGCCAGGCGTGGTGTTGGGTGCCTGTAATCCCAGCTGCTAGGGAGGCTGAGGCAGGAGAATCACTTGAACCCAGGAGGCGGAGGTTACAGTGAGCCGAGATTGCACCACTGCACTCCAGCCTGGGCGACAAAGCAAGACTCCGTCTCAAAAAAAAAAAAAAAAAAAGAAAAAAGAAAAATGTTTTCTTTAGTTTTTGTATACAGATGGAAAAAGCACCTTAAGGAGCTACAGTAGGAAAAGAATACACATTGTTTTCTTAGAAGTATATGCCAAACACTGGGCTAAGCACTCTGTATATTCTCAATTTTTAATCTTCACCACAACCCTGTGAAATAGGTCCTATTTTATAAAGGCTTGTGTCTTTATTCCCAGTCTCATGACTAGTAAATGCTGAATCAGGATCTAGCTCAGAGCAGACACCAATGTCTGTGCTTTTTCCTTCATATATTCAACCACAGACTCATTTAACAAATATTTACTATGTGCCCATTCTGTGCTAGATACTGGAAATTCAGTAATGCACAGCACATAACCTCTGCTTCAGGGAGAATAGAGCCTAAAGGGATGGCAAAGTCAACAATAATTTCAATGCAGTGTGACTGATAACTAATCAATCATTCTCTCCCACAACAGACCAAAAACTTCATAAGGGCAAGAACCAGAGCCTTCCGGAAAGCAATAAATGTCGTTGAGTGAAGCAATGTGTGAATGATAGGCCTGTAATAAGGTACCAATGCTTCTGTCTGCTCTGGCACTTAGCATCATACACTGCACATAGAAGAGGCTAAAAAGTAGTTATTTAATACACTGATTATTTTATGTAAGTACATAAAATAAATACCCACAGATAAAAATAGGGGTTCTCTTCTGAAATAAGATAGTGATCAAACTATAGCACAATCATTCTTATCACCTTTTAAGGAAATAGTCTCACAACTAACCAGCCCACAGAAAACCAGGGTTTCCTCATGAGGAGACATAAGGAACACGGATCCTGTACATATTATTCTTAGCTCCTTCCAGAAATTAAAAACAGAAAATCTTGTGTGTATGATATGCAAGTTTTGCTGTCTGCACATCAACTGATAGCAGCCATGGGGAGGCAGATTTCAGCTTGAGATAAAAAAACTGGAATGGATGACCTTTAAGATTCCTTTAAGCCTCAAGTTTCCAAGTTCGTGTTTCAGGCACTTTCAGGCAGCATCTCTAAGTATGAATGCTCCCTCCCACAGCAGCAGCTCCTGTCTGATTACCATTAGCAAATTAGTAGACTGTGCCCGGGCTAACACATCCAGGGCAGCCCTGGCAGTTTATTTATGATGATTATGACTGCTGTACTCATTAGAGCCTCACAGTGCATCAAAATTAGGCTTGTTGGGCCTGACAAAGTGGTGCTGCCCATATGCTTACTCACAGAGCACAGAGGTTTGTATATCACCTAGCTTAGAACTGCTTCTTTGACGGAGGAGGGGTGGGGCCCACACACCGTGTCCATGGCAGAACTCAGACCAGAACCCATGGCCAGTTCCAGGACTTGTTCTGCTCTAACAGGCTGCCTGCCCTTTGGGGTACTGTCCTTCCTCCCAGACTAATCTCGGCTGGGTGGAAGCTAGGGATAAAAACAGCAACAGACTATGGCCAGGAGTGGCAAATACCATACAACTGAGGTATGTTTTAGAACCACTGTTGTCATGGCCACTTAGCATGACACAGGCAGGGCAGCATGTAGACAATGTACCAAAATTTAGCTGTCAATCCTTGCCTCCACCTCTCCCATTTGCAAACTTCAGTCTTTTATCACTACGCTTGTTTAGCCTATTAATAGGCTGCCTGAGTTCAGCCTTTACATTCCTGTCTGGGAAGTTTGAGAACTAATTTGCACAGCTGGGGGCAAAAACCAAAGCACATCGCTAGGGTGATAAAGTTTATACCTAGACTCAAGAAGCCCTGATTAGTTCAGCTGGCCTACCTAACCCAATTTTGGAGAGCAGACAAGACCTGAAAGTGTATCTGCCCTAACCTCCTCCTCACTTGACTAATTCGGAAGCAGAGAATAAGGAATATGAAATAATTGAAATACAACAAACAGCAGAGCTGAGGCTGATCGACCAGGCCCCCTAGACCCCAGCTTTTTGTTCAAAGTGTCCCAATGCTGCCCTCCTCTCAGTCTCAAGCAACATCTTTATTTTCTAAGGATGCCTGAGGCACAATTCTTAGAATAGGCTTCCTGATGACATCACATAGTAACTGGCACCATATCATACCATCTTCAGCTCCATCTGTTAACCTACGTCTCAACCTGCTCACAGTCAAGAATAAAAAGTTGGGCCAGGCATGGTGGTTCATGCCTGTAATCCCAGCACTTTGGGAGGCCGAGGCGGGTGTATCACCTGAGGTCAGGAGTTCAAGAACAGCCTGGCCAACATGGTGAAACCCCGTCTCTACTAAAAATACAAAAATTAGCCGGGTGTAGTGGTGGGCACCTGTAGTCCCAGCTATTTGGGAGACTGAGGCAGGACAATCGCTTGAACCCAGGAGGTGGTTGTTGGAGTTGAGATCACACCACTGCACTCCAGCCTAGGCAACAGAGCGAGACTCCGTCTCAAAAAAAAAAAAAAAAAAGAATAAAAAGCTACGCCGGGAACATAGTGAGAAGTGAAGTGAAAATAAACTTAGACACTTAGACTAGCATGATCCCAGTTGGCAGTCAAACACGTTTTGTGAAATACCAAGGTCTGATAGAAAAGTAGAAAACAAGCCCTGGGAGGACAAACTCCTCAGAACAAACACGGTGAAAACAGTCCTGAGTTACCACATGACATGCTCTTATGGATCAGACAAGTGTGTCTGCCATCAGATCATCAGGAAGGAGGGTCTGGGAAAATGGCCCACAAGCTTGAGATCTGGGCATTTCACACTGCTGAAGGAAAGGTGAGAAGGCACCAGTTCCAGGCATCATCAGCTCAGGAGTGAAGACATCTCCCCAACAGCAGTGGAAATCATGATGCACTGAATGTAGAATTAGAAATTCGAGATCTGGATTCTGGCTCTACCACGTAACAGCATTTGACCACAGGCAAAAAGTTAATCCCTCCATGGCCTTGTTTTCTTAACTGTGGCATGGATACAATGATACCAAGAGCAGAAAAGGGAATAAATGTAGTAGGTACAAATGCTTCAAAAACATTCTACAAATTTTCAAGATTGTTTTCTCTCCTCCTTAGACGTCATTAAGAATCCTAACAGAGTATTCTCCAAACTATATTAATGCTATAATTATCCAGGAAATATTTATCGAGTACCTTCTAGATGCTCAATAGAGCTACAAGAGATGCTTAGGATACAGCAATGAACAAGAAAAGTTCCTACCCTTGTAAGTATTCTGGAAACAAGTCCTTTATTGGATGTGTAATTTGCAAATATTTTCTCTCAACCTATAGCTTATCTTTTCATTTTCTGAAAATGTCTTTGAAGCACAAAAGTTTTGAATTTCAAAAATCCAATTGATTGATGTTTTTCTTATTGTGGATCATGCTTTTGGTGTTATATCTAAGACATCTTTGCTTAACCCAAGATCTTGAAAATTTTCTATGTTTTCTTCTAAAAGTTTCATAGTTTAGCACTTAAAGTTCATGATCTACTTTGAGTTAATTTTTTTGCGTGGGGTGTGTATAAGGGTCTAAATTCATCTTGCTTTTTATCTCTTCATGTAAAAATGTCTGTTGGACACATTTGCCAAATGAAAGGTCACCGGCAACTTTGAGGAGTAGCTTCATTGAGTGGGGGAAATGGAAGCCAGACTAGAGCCAAGTGAAGAGAGGATGAGAAGGAGAGGAGGACACTACCCGGTGTGGATAACTCTAATGAGGAAGAGTTATGTCCTGAAGGAGAAGAGGAACCACAGTCACCAAACAAAGATGAAACAAACAAGGTTGGTGTTTGTTCATTTGGGGGAAAGTCTTCCATTGTACCAGGTGATAGGTACAGAAGATTTAGAAGATGATGAATGCAAATGGCAGTGATTTGGTGGAGAGAAAATTTTCAAGAGTATAAAGCAAAGTCATCAGATGAGAGAAAAGTAGATAGGAGTTACATGTGGGCATTTGTTGGTTTTGCTTGTTTGCTTGTTGGTTCTGAGGGAAAGCCTGGCTTCCTTTGGGGACTTACCTCTCACCTACTGTGTCCTGTTCTAGTAGGACAATTAAACCTCACCCCTGCCTTGCTAGGAGCATGGGCAAGGCAGTCAGGCTAAGTAAAATTAAATATTGAATACATAGTGGCTCATGCCTGTAATCCCAGCACTTTGGAAGGCCAAAGTGGACAAATCACTTTAGGCCAGGAGTTCGAGACCAGCCTGGCCAACATGGCGAAACCCTGTCTCTACCAAAAATACAAAAATTAGCTGGGTGTCATGGCACATGCCTGTAGTCCTAGCTACTCGGGAGGCTGAGGCATGAGAATCACCTGAACCCAGGAGGTTGCAGTGGGCCAGGATTGTGCCACTGCACTCCAGCCTGGGTGACAGAGGGAGACCGTCTCAAAAAAAAAAAAATATCTTCAGTATATAGACAGTATATTGAGTACACAGTATAAGCTAAATTAAATCTTGAGTATATAGACAGCAAGAAAGAAAAAAAAAATTGAGGCTGATTCACTCCAGGTGTTGTGCCTTAATATGACCATGATACCACTTTGCTGACCTATTATAACTACAATAAATTCTGTTAAAGTAATTCTAAACATGAATTTATAAGTTGTTGTCTATTAAGAAAATAATAATTAGTACTTCAGTAGAACTTTAAATTTACAAAGCATCATCACAAACATTTCTTAACAAACTATAAGGAAAATAGGGATTGTATATTACAGGCATTTAACAGCCAATGGTACCTAACAGAGCCTGGCTCTTAGCACTTAGTACAAGCCTGATAAATATGTAAATGCATGAATGCATGATTCAATGATTTTCCCACAATTATGCGGCCAATAAGGGACCTGATTTTAACTTAAACTCAGATTGCCTCACTAAAAATTCAGCGATTTTCAAATGACATATGTACTATAAATTAAATGAGATATACTTTTCAAAAGATTATGCTTATAATTTCTGGACTAGGAAAGATTTTTTTTTTTTTTTTTTTGAGACTGAGTCTTGCTCTTTTGCCCAGGCTGGAGGGCAGTGATGCAATCTCACCTCACTGCAAGCTCTGCCTCCCGGGTTCATGCCATTCTCCTGCCTCAGCCTCCCAAGTAGCTGGGACTACAGGCGCCCACCACCACTCCCGGCTAATTTTTTGTATTTTTAGTAGAAATGGGGTTTTACTGTGTTAGCCAGGATGGTCTCTATCTCCTGACCTCGTGATCCACCCACCTCGGCCTCCCAAACTGCTGGGATTACAGGCGTGAGCCACCGTGCCTGGCCGGAAAGATTTAATTCTTAAAAACAATGAACCGCTGATAAGCAAAATATAATAACATTCCACTTAAAAAAAAAAAAAAAGAAGAAGAATAGAGGAGACCTAAAATATAGGCAGAGGGGTTGCTAATTGCTGGAATAGGACTAAGGATGAGGGTTCCCACATATTAACAAAATTAAGGCATCCAATAAGATGGTCAGAGCTTTGTTTAAAAAAAAAGGGTGGGGGTAGGCAGCTCAGGGAGAAGGTCTCGGATGAAGCAAGGCAGTGTTCTTGATGTGCCAGTTTTTGTGTGTGGACATTCCTTCCTTCTAAGCACTGGCCTGTACCTCAGAGGTGAAATGCCTATGAACTAGCACTTTCCAGATTCCCTTTTCAGCTGACTTCTGATTCAGTTCTCCCAATGAGAGGCACTCTCATAAGAACTGAAGGGAAAAAAGAAAGAAAAGCCATTTTTCCCCAGGAGCAGCTGGGGACAGGACTGTGGACGTCAGCAGATTGCAGACATGGGTTTTGTTAGCTGCTTCTGCAGTGAGGGACTCTTGAGACCCCACTTTGGTGCTGCAGGCAGCCAAGATCAGCAGCAGCAGCTTCCAACAGCCTTCCAACCCTCCACTCCACCACCCCTCTATGAGTTTTGTGTGCCTCCACTTCCCTGTAGTTAATCCTTGCCACCCAAAATATCTTGAGTGGTTTCTATTTTCCTGCCCAAACTCCAATGCAACCGATGAAGCAGGGCAAAGCTGCTGCGGCAAAAGGGAGAACGGGGAGGAGATAGGACAGAAACAGATGTGCCAGGAGATTTCAAGCATCTGCAAAGGGCAGAGGTTGGGGCAACAGAGTCTATGGGCCAAAATAAGAATGGCAAAGAAATCCATTTAATGAATATTTAAAGTGCCTACTATGTGCCAGGCATGGCATTAGAGGCTAGAAAAATAAAACTGAACAAAGCAGAGTGTGGTCCTCCAGCATTCAGTCTGGTGGAGGAAACATAAGTGATGCAATGAATCCAGAACAAAGGGACAAATGCCAAAGAAGAGATAAGCATGAGGTGCTGTGAGAGGTCTTGAGCTGGTGTTTACATTTTACCAGCATGGGGGAGGGCAGGAGAGGCGCGCAGGAAGGGCTTCCCAGAGGAGCTGATGCTCTAGCTGGGCTTTGCAGAAAAAGAAGTTGGACAGCCTGGTGTGGGAGGTACTTCCCAGGTAATATGTCAATTCCATAGTGTTTAGGATCCTCACTGTGGAAGCCAACTGGCAACAGTCCCCACAGAACATCACTTGAGTTGGTGACTGATAAGGGGAGCTGGCTCCAGGGCCACAGGAGATGCTGACAAATGTTCTCTTCTTTCTTCCAAGTAGCACTTCAGTAATGATGCCCAGAAGGCAACCAAAAGCAGCAAGATTAAGAGGAGAGAAGTCTACATCCCTAATGGAACCACAGAGCCCTGCTGATCTTTCTGCCCAGGTTGCCCTTGACAACCACACTACTGAGTATCTCCAAACAGAGAACAAGGATATATGACTTACACCTCCTCTCCATGATGCCCCAAAAATTACGTACAGACAGCGGATTCAGCATCTGCTTATAGAGTAAACTGCACCCAAGATACCCAGAGCTTCAGGAAACAAAAGAAATTAGGTTAGGCTTCTAAGGGTTGACTTCTGGGAGCTGGGTAATTAAATGAGTCAATACTTACCAAAAAGGTGCCAGCAGGTCACAAGAATTCAACACAAAACTAATATAAGGCTATTATTAATACAATCTTAAAAGCTGAGCATCTTCCTGCATGTATATTTTTATAATCGGTCATCTTATTAAAACCTCATTCTACCCTTCAGCAGTTTGTGAATACATCATCACAACAAGTGATTATTCATGACATGTGTTTGATGAATCTGTTCGTTATGGTTTGAAAAGTAGACATCACATGATCCCTTCAAGGATCTAGTTTCACCTCTCAGAATAGTTGAACATTTGGCCTTGCCCCTGTTGGTAACCCAAACCCAACTGCTTTGAAAAGTTGCTTAACTGGAATGAGGTACACAGGCTTTCCCTCCTTTTATATTGAAACAAAAGACTTTTTGCCATAACCAGGACTCAAAAGACAACAGTCATTATATCTAAAAATGATACTTACAAATTTTGAAAATGTATTTGACTTTATTATCATTCTCATTCTAATTTGTGTCCTTTCCTTTCTCAGTTTTATTCTCATGCTCATGATATATTGGAGCTTTAAGAATTCCCATTTGATTATTTATTCCCTACTTGACTAAGATATAAGTAGAGTTTCAGGGTTTTAAAACAACAAGCTCTCCTACTCTTTGCAGCCGCCTCTCCTAGGCTTACTAATTACCAGCAAAATGTCTAAGTGTCTCCTTGGGCATCTCTTTCACTTAAGTGGCTGAGCTAATCTAAGTGAATATGGCTATTTTCCCTTCCATAATTTTTTTTTTTTTTGAGAGAGAAAGTCTCTCTTTGTCACCCAGGTTGGAGTGCAGTGGCACAATCCCAGCCCACTGCAACCCCCAACTCCTGGGTTCCAAGGATTCTCATGCTTCAGCCTCCCGAGTAGCTGGGACTAACTAAAGGCATGCATCACCATGCCCAGCTAATTTTTTTGTATTTTTAGTAGAGATGGGGTTTCACCATGTTGGCCAGGCTGGTCTTGAATTCCTGGCCTCAAGTGATCTGCCCACTTTGGCCTCCCAAAGTGTTGGGATTACAGGCGTGAGCCATGACACCCGGCCACTTCCATAGCTTTCCATCAAATTATTTTTACTGAAGTCCAGAAGAAAAAAATTAAGGAGCCACAATTTGTGAACTGTCAATGTCACAATGCAGCATAGGCAGGTGTGGGGAATGGGAAGCAGAGACCAGAGGGACATGGATGAGGATGGAGTTCTGCAGGGCTCTGTCACAGCTTGAGGCTTGAGGTTCAAGGCAGTGTGATACAGATGGTCTTCTCAGGACTAAGCAGGGTATAGGCTGATTCGCACAGCAGAGGCTGCAAGGAAAAATAAAAATAAACTGCAAGGGCTGGGTGTGGTGGTTCATGCCTGTAATCCCAGCACTTTGAGAGGCTGAGGCGGGCAGATCATGAGGTCAAGAGATTGAGACCATCCTGGCCAACATGGTGAAACCTGGTCTCTACCAAAAATACAAAAATTAGCCAGGCACGGTCATGGGCACCTATAATCCCAGATACTCAGGAGGCTGAGGCAGGAGAATCACTTGAACCCAGGAGATGGAGGTTGCAGTGAGCTGAGATCGCACCACTGACTCTAGCATGGCCACAGAGCGAGACTCCGTCTCAAAAAAAAAAAAAAAGAAAAAAAAAAACAGACTGCAAGGCAAGGAAGCAATACATATAAAAGAGTGCCTGGCCTTTCATAATCCACTATGCCAACAGTTGCTTTTGTTTTTCCTAGTTATAATTAATACTAAAGCCGGGTGAGTGGGCCAGGCCTACAACACCTTCAGTAGCCACCCATTGCTCAGACAGCATTCTGGACAGAGAAGATGTCACTTCATAAAGCTGACTGATAATGTTGCCAGGTCTTCAGGGATATGCACAGGTGAGAACATAAAGGGGCATTCAGTGTTCTCTAGCTGAGTGGTTCTCAACCTGCTCACTCAAGCTACCAGTGGTCCCTATCTGTGTTATAAAAACTAAATTCCTCTCCCACTGAATGTTACCAAAAATGCTACAGGGATTTTTAATAGATTTTTAAAAATCAATCTTAATTCAAGAAATAAGAATCATACTGTTGTCTCAACATTTAAATTTTTAAGTTTCACGTACTTCGAGGAAAATTAAAATTTACTACATTTAATAGAAACACTAAGAAAAGTAGTATCATTTGCATATTGTACCCCAAACCTTGTTCTTCTGGACATAAATCCATGCAAGAGAATAAAAAATGTAATTTCTTTACATTTACTGAGCTTCTCCCATGAGCCAAATGCTGTCAGGTACAGGGATGGACAGTCCCTGACCACAGAAGTTGATAGCTTAGGGGGTCAACTGATACATAAATAAAAAATTATGGCCGGGCTCGGTGGCTCATGCCTGTAATCCCAGCATTTTGGGAGGCCAAGGCGGGCGGATCACAAGGTCAAGAGATCGAGACCATCCTGGCCAACATTAGCCTCTACTAAAAATATAAAAATTAGCTGGGCGTGATGGTGCATGCCTGTAGTCCCAGCTACTCTGGAGGCTGAGGCAGGAGAATTGCTTGAACCAGGGAGGTGGAGGTTGCAGTGAGTCAAGATTGCGCCACTGCACTCCAGCCTGGGCAACAGAGCCAGACTCTGTCTCAAAAAAAAAAAAAAAAATTAGAGTCAGCCCAGCATTCCAGCAGCAGCAACTCTTCGAGAACAAATGGGCCTCTACAGACCTGCGAGCCCACTGAAAACAGCACATCCTCCAATCCTCCACTGTGACTGGAAGATAGAGAGAAGCCCTCAGGTGTAAAATCTTAAGCCAGAGAAGACCTGTGGCTGCAGGGCTGACAAGTAGTAGGAGTGTGAAGAGCAAACAGTCAACATCAAACCAAGAAACTTTCTTGTAGAATAGTTCCTTTCCAATTAATTAGTAGGGCTCACTTTATATCAAGAAATGACTCCAGTTTGAAACTGCCACAGTTTCAAGTTAAGAACCCGAGGCCATATGTTTTTACTTTGTGTTGTGTTTTCTACTGGTCTTTTAACTGTTTAACTAGAGACTTCTAGCCTGCTTAGGATCTATTAGCACTTCAAAAATAATTTGTTATTTTTCAGTCATTTACACTAGTCAACACAAAAAATATTGGCTAGGAGAGCTAAAACAGATTTGTTTTCACACCAGGGAATATATCAAATTATATTACACAAATCATGTCTGTAATTATTCTACAAGATTCCTTTAAGTAGGGCATACCTTTATGTTTCTAATAATCCCTATTCTCAAGATATAAAAGTTTAATTATACCCCATTTATCTCCAGGTAGAATTTCCCATAAGCTCATTACTCAGACCACACTCATAAGAAGAATAAACAGGCAGAAAGATCAGCTAAAAGTATAACTGCTATCACAAACCCCTGTAACATATTCTGTAAGAAACAAGCCACACAGTTGTACATAAAATATGGCCACAGATTTGAAGTGAGAACCCACCACCAGCAGATATACTTGGCAGATGACCAGATAGGTAAAAGGTATAGAACTACAGAAATCAGACAGAAGGATTCTGAAAGGACATTAGTACAGGCTCAATTCAGTTAAGGACAAACAGTCCCCCATAGCCCGGTAAGACTTCCATTATCTTGCTTCACTGTAAAAGTCACTGGTGTTCATATTCACGATCTTAAAGTCACAGCTAATTAACCATGGGTGTAGAGAGCATCAACAGCAGAGCTTCCTAAATGGGCTTCTGCTAGCTAATGTACACCTCTGCCTAATGGTGCACAGTATTAGACACTGTACAGCAGTGTTTCTTAAACACTTTCTCACATGACCCACATTTAAAGATGTATCTTATAACTCAACCCAGTTATAGAAGTTGTGATGGCCAGTCTCCATGATGGCCCTGGACAATCCCCACCTCCCAACCTTTATACTCTTGTAAAGTCCCTCTCATGCAGTAACAGGATCGCTAGATGTGACTAACAGAAGAGAAGAGAATCAGAGTTGATTACTTTTGATCTGATACTCTTACTTTTGATCTGATACTGCATCTTCTGTCTTGGGGGCACTCTCTTGTTCTGTCTTAGGTCATGTGTTCTGGTAGAAACCAGCAAAGATGTCATGAGTAGCCCTAAGGAAAGGCCTATGTGGTGAGACGCTGAGGCCTCCTGCCAACAGCCACAGGCATAGGCCTGGAAGAGGATCAGCCCAGCGAGGCCTTCAGATGACTGCAGCCCTGGCTGACATCACCCCTCTAAATAACAAATGCTTATTGTTTTAAACTACTAAGTGTGGGAGTAATTTGATAACTAACGCAAGTATATAACTAAAAAGATTCAAAAAAAAAAAAAACTTTACTCTTTCTAACCCATGAATACTGATATTTTCTACTCCATTTTCTTTTTCTTTTTTTTTTTTTTTTTTTTGAGATAGAGTTTGACTCTGTTGCCCAGGCTGGAATGCAGTGGTGTGATCTTGGTTCACTGCAACCTCTGCCTCCTAGGTTCAAGTGATTCTCCTCCTGCCTCAGACTCCCAAGTAGCTGGGATTACAGGCATGCACCACCATACCCATCTGGCTTTTGTATTTTTAGCAGAGATGGAGTTTCACCATGTTGGCCAGGCTGGTCTTGAACTCCTGACCTCAGGCGATCTGCCCGCCTCGGCCACCCAAAGCACTGGGATTACAGGCGTGAGCCACCACGTTTGGTCTTATTCCATTTTCAAATGTTGCCTGAAACCCACTAAAATGATTATGACCTACAATAGGTCATAATCTGAATGGTCCAATAGGCATTAGTTGTAACAAATATCTGGAATTCCTTCTATACATACATTTATACATACATAGAGAAAGAGGGAGAAGGAGGGAGGACAGGATCTTTATTGCTAACAAACCATATCCATATCTATTACTTCAATTGATTCTTGCAATAACTGAGAGTAAAGAAAGGATTAAAATCTCTACTTTCCCGATGAGTCAAAAATGTTGCTTGAAAAAGGCTATTTAACACGCCTAAAGTTAAAGAACTAAGACCAACAGAACTGAGCCCAGCCCTCAGGCCTTCTGATTCCTGGTGCCCTTTCCACTAAGCCACCTTTGCTGTATTTCCCCAGAAGTCATCTATTATATAAATTTTGTAATATATTATAATTTATATAAAATCTTTATGGAAAATATATATTAAGCATGTATTATATATTATAGATGTATAAAATATTCTATACTATATATAAAGTTTATAATCTATTACATAGATATCCTCCTTGATTTTCACTGAGTCCCTAGGACCCCACGTTGTCTTGGTTTTCCTGGTAACTCACTGGCTGCTCCTTCTCAGGTGCCTTTGCTGATTCCAGCCTCTCACTGCTGGAGAGACAGGGCTCATTGGTCCTTGGTCCTCTTCTCTCCTCTGTGTACTCATGCCCTTGGCAGTCGTACTATCCAGTCTCTGGGTTTTAAGTGCTACCTATGCTAAAGACTCCCAAATTGGGAGTCCCAGCTCAGGGCTCTTTCCTGCAGTCCAGAGCCATACATCTCCTTACTTTTTAAATAACTCTACTCGGATGTCAAAAAGCAATTTCACGCCGGGCACAGTGGCTCATGCCTGGAATCCCAGCACTTTGGGAGCAGAGGCAGGCGGATAGCCTGAGGTCAGGAGTTTGAGACCAGCCTGGCCAACATGGTGAAACCCTGTCTCTACCAAAAACAAAAAATTAGCCAGGCATGGTGGTGCACACACCTGTAATCCCAGCTACTCAGAAGGCTGAGGCAGGAGAATCACTTGAACCTGGGAGGCAGAGGTTGCAGTGAGCCAAGACTGCACCATTGCACTCCAGCCTGGGAAAAAAGAGCAAACTCTGTCTCAAAAAAAAAAAAAAAAAAAAAAAAAAAGCTATTTCAAACTGAACTCCTGATCTCCCCACTTGCATCTCCTCCTCCGGTAGCCTTCCCTATCTCAGTTGATGGCAACTCCATCCTACCAGCGGCTGAGGCTAAAAACCCTGCAGTCATATTTGACTCTGTAACGCTGACATCCAATCCCATCAGCAGAGCCTGTTAGCTCTACTTTGAGATATATCCAGAATCTGATGACTTCTCACCACTTCCACTTCAATAGCCTCCTAAAAGGTTCCCCTTGCTCCCAAAAAGCCATTCTCAACAGAGCAGCCAGAATGATCCTTTAAAGACCCAAGACACATCACTCCTCTACTTAATGCTACAATTGTTCCCCACTTCACTCAGAGGAACAGCCCAAGTCTTTACTATGGACTACAAAGCACTGCACATGTAGGATAGAGACAAGGTGATATTGCAGAAGCAGATTGAGATTTAGCCTTTAAGCCAAGAGTGAGCTCAATGAATCAACAGTATTCTAACCCACCTCCCTCCAACCAAATTCTAATATTTATCTGCTTCAATAGAAGAACAAAAGAATTGAGCATGTCTTGTGTTCATCAGACCACACCTGGAAGGTCACCCTCAATTTCAAGTGCCTACTTTAAAGACAGATTGACAAAGAAAGACATGTCTGATGATAACAACCAGGCTGAGGTGGGGATGTGAAAGAATACCATTTGAGGTGGTGATGCAAGGAACCGGTAAGTTTAATATGGGTAAGTAATGAACCAGAAAACAGGGTTTTCAGGTGGATTTCAGCTCAATTATGACTGTAACCAAATGGGCCGCCTTGAGACGTTTCCCGTCACTAGATCATTTTGGCAACCTCCGCACCCAGTCTCAACATTTTAAGTGCTACCTATATGCTCAAGACTCCCAAATTTGTATTTCTAGCTTTGACCTCTCTCTCATACTCCAGACCTGGGATGATTAATTTTATGTGTCAACTAGTCTAGTCTATGGTACCAGTTGTTTGGTCAAACACCAGTATAAATGTTGCAGGTAAGGTATTTTCAAAATATGATGAACATTTAAATCAGTAGACCTGGAATAAAGCAGATTACCCTCCATAATGTGGGTGGGCCTTATTCAGTCAGTTGAAGGCCTTAAGAGAAAAGACCGAGGACCCCAAAGAGGAAGTAATTCTGTCTGCAGACTACCTTTGATTCAAAAGTAGAACATCAACTCTTCCCTGGCTCTTCAGTCTGCCAGCCTGCCCTGCAGAGTTTGAATTTGCCAATTATTTAAAATGAATAAATATATATAAATATGTATGTATATATACATGCACATACATACATGTGAGTGCAACCTATTGATTCTGTTTCTCTGGAAAATCTTGACTACCATAAGACCCATAGATCTCCCTGCTTTTTTACTGTCTCTGCTTGGATGACTAAAAGTTGCAAACTTAGCACTGTGTAGGGTGTTATAAAGGAAAACAAATATTCAGATGGTTGGCTGAACTAGAATCAAAGTACTTGATCCTTTCAACTGCTGATATTTTGTAAACTTTGAAGGCATTAGTAGAAAAATGAGGGTACACAGGCTGAAAAGGGAAAAGGGAACTATTTAAGAATTGGAGCCCAGTAGCCCTCTAAGAAATGAGATCCCGAAAGGCTGATAAGACATTTGGCATCTGAACCCATCCACTGACAGGAAGAAGACAAAAACTAATGCACAGAGTAGAATTCAGAGATCATTTAGTCTAGCTTTCTTTTGGTGCAGAGTTTTGCTATAACCTAGCCAGTTGCTACTAAAATGAAATCCCTTTATTAAAATTATATTCCTTATTTTGAGCTGAGACTGGCCTGTATCTTTCATCCCAGTCTTGGTCATGGTTCTGCCATGTTAAACAATACAGAATAAGTAAGTGTACACTCTAGCCATTTATATATCCAAAGACAGCTCTTTAAACCCTCTCCTACCCATGACTTCTTTCACAGAGCATGGGTATTTCTCAAATATTTGACCTATTTCTTAATCAAATAGGTTTCCAAACCCCTAACCATTACAACCACGTTAGACACATTCTACTTTGGTAGTATCTCTCAAAGTGCCTTCACTCATCCATGCCTCCCCCCATCTAACCATCCACTCATGCATGCAGCATTTATGAGCACACAATATACAGGCAGGAGATATATAGAAATGATCAAGATACAATCCCTCTTTCATGGGGCTTGGGGAGTGAGGGAATGTTTACTGGGAGAAGAACTACAAGTAAACAGACCATTATTGTGCTGTATCATAAATGGTAGGAGAGAAAGATGAACTGGAGCTACAGGAGCCTCTAAAATAGAGTGATATCTGGTAGGCTGTTCAGAGTAAAAGAGTCTTGACCTAAGCTGAACTTTGAAGGTTAAGAAAGAGTTAGTGGGAGGATGTAGAAGATGGATGTAGAGGATGCAGGTGGGTACGTGTGTGTGATTACTTTCTAGGCAGAGAAAGTAGCTTATAGGAACTAAAGACAGGGCCAGGTGCAGTGGCTCACACCCATAATCCCAGCACTTTGGGAGGCCGAGGCAGGCAGATTGCCTGAGGTCAGGAGTTCAAGACCAGTCTGGCCAACATGGTAAAATCCTGTCTCTACTAAAAATACAAAAATTAGCCAAGCATGGTGGTGTGCATCTATAGTCCCAGCTACTTGGGAGGCTGAGGCAGGAGAACTGCTTGAACCCAGGAGGTGGAGGTTGCAGTGAGCTGAGATCGGGCCACTGCACTCCACCCTGGACGACAGAGTGAGACTCCATCTCAAACAAACAAACAAAAAAGCTAAATACAGACAAAGAAATATGGTCCATTAGGTGAATGCCGGTAGGGAAGAGCTCTGCAAGTAGCTGGGTGTGACTGAAGAATAGGGGCAGAAGCAAACTGGGAGCAGAATATAAGTAATCACAATAAGTGAATCTTTATTAGGTGTTTAGTATGTGTTAGAACTCATTTAATGCTCTCAACAACACTGTCAAGGTTGTACTATTATCCCACTTTTACAGATGAAGAAGCTGAAAACCAAAGAAATAATAACTTGCCCAAGGGTTCTCCGCTGGTAAGTAGATGAACAAGGTCCTAACCCAGGAAGCACAGTTTCACGGCTCAAAGTCGTAACTACTGCCTTCCCACCAGCTCTCTGAACTTGCTCCTCATAGGAGTTTGCAGTTTATCCTAAGGCACTAGGGAGCCACGGGTGTTAGGCAGAGCAATGACTGGATAGAGACTTATTTATCTTCTAGAAAAATTTCACTCAGCATTTGTGACAGCACAGAGGGAGAGGGCTCAAGAGTGAGGTGGGAGGCCAGTTCCGAGAGATGGTGATGGGCCTGCAAAGCTCAGCTTGAGAGGCTTGAATCAGGCTTGAACCACACCGACTAGGGTCTCAGAGGACTTAGCAGCACATAAATCACTGCCCCTCCACCATTTCTTCCCACTTTCAATCCAGCAGACACACAGACACACACACACACACACACACTATGTGTGTGTGTGTGTCTCACAAAAATGGTGTCTTCAGACAGTTTATGTGAGATGGCTGCATAATGGAGACTCTTAAACACATATTGGCTGTTTCAACTTTTTCCATATGGATTTTTTTTCCTATGCTCCTTACAATGTGTTATTTTTGTCTTCTGGTGTAAAAGAATGTTTTTGCAATTTCATAGTTGAAACATTTTTCTACTTGAAAAGTAAAAATCTCTACTTTGGAATGGTTTTCTTAGCAGAAAACTTTCACTTGAGTGAAAGTCTCTTTTCCTATTAGTGAGTTTACATTTGACAAAAAGTAAGACATGACACCCAGGTTAAATGCCACAGGCTTCAATTTCAAGTTCTGGTGTGATGCCACCATCAGGTCAGCAGGTATGTCTTTCGTTCCCTTTGTGAAAACATTAGTTTTGATTAATAATCTCAATAATCTCATTTGCCTGAGGACACATGGGGATTTCAAACCTGGGAAGTTTGCTAAGGTGTTTGATTTGGCCAGAATATCAGTATCACCTCTTGGGTGAACAAGAAAATGTTTAGGTTTGATTTTTGAGCTTCAGCTTTCCTGTCCCTCTCCCCTAGAGAATTCTCCCAGGAACCAAGTCTAAGTAAGGTCATTTCAACTTCAAATGGGGAGAACCAAGGAAATCAGTAGAGACATCACTCCATTCATATCCATGTGTGGTCATTATTTCTGGTAGAGAAGATATGCTGGTGGCAGAAATGTATGAGATGCTCAGAGATATCTTTCCTCTCTTTAGAATGTGTTAAAGGCCAGAGTTATTCCCTGATTTAACAAGCCTCTTTCTCTCCCCTCTTCTACACCATTACTTGGTCCCACTCCATGACTTGAAGGCCTTGGCAGCCTATGAGCCTGGAGTCCAGACCACTTCATCAGACATCAGGGAGCAAAGCTCAGATGCCAAACTTGGGCTAATCCAGAGGACATGATACTGGTTAACAGATCTAAAAACAATTGAGGAATTTTACAGTTACTTTTTTTTCTTTTTTAACTCAAATGGGCTCACTAAATTCTTTGCTTCCTTCTATATCTCAGCAGTTAATAGCTGCTCTATGTTAAGATGTAAAAGTCGTTGAGGACTATGCCTCCTACAGACAAGCCCACTCAACTGATCTGAAATAATCATAAATGTTGTTATGGCCTTCACAAAGGACTGGGACTGTGGGCTGTGGGGGATGCATACCTGGAAGTGATATAGGGTGAGCATCTGCAGATTCTCCTGAGCTCCTCTTTCACTAAAGGCATGTATCCAAAGGTATGTGCTCTGCTTAAGAAGGTCATGGGCAGTTTTCCCAGATTCACAGATGGTCAGCATGTAGGAAGCCTAACCTACAACCTCAGCTTTTCAAGCTCCAAATAAGAAATGCAAACATAGAAGTTGATGGTTACCAGGACAACACCAAATGCCAGTTGCTATAGAATAGGAAGAGAACATGACCAAAAGAGGCCCTGGTCAAGGGGAACTGACAAGCTACTTGGAGGAGGCTGCAAAAATAATAACAACGTGGGGACAATTATGAGCACAAGTCAAGGTGCCCAAAGTAAGATCCTTGGATTAGCCTGCTTCTCTCTCATGAAGGCTTTAATTGGTGTTTATTCAGCATTTATGTATTAAATTATGTAAGGCAATTATGGCATTAAGCTGACAGCCTCAGAATGACTTTTCTGTCACTCCTCCTGAAGAATCCCAGCTTAGCCCTGTCTCCAGTTACTTTCTTCAACTCTCTTCCCTCCAGTTTAATCTCCCCACTCCCTGATCCCCGCCCGCTACTAGCTGTTTAGGGACAGCAGAGAACTATTTACTAACAACACAATATTTTACAAATCAGCACATTTTAAAGAAATAACTTGCACTGCATTTAAATAAAGTTGTACCCTAAATGAATGATATCAAAATAATGACTTTGTGTCAATGAGCTGGAATCTTGAATGAACACATACAGGTAGAAAGAACGTTACTTAAGACTTTTCAATTAACAGAATTTGTCATGAACCATTCAGCAAAGCATTGCTTCTGTTATCCACTTTTTAGTATGGAAAGTTCCTTTCTCACTTAAGCCAAACCGGAGAATGAGTTCCCTCCAGGTCCCCATTTTGGCTTCTTTGCTATGTCTGTGAATGTTTTACCTTATTTTTCTTTTTGTGAAACAAGGTCTCACTCTGTTGTCCAGGCTGGAGTGCAGTGCCACAGTTGGCTCACTGCGATCTCTGCCTCAGGGGCTCAAATGATCCTCCCACCTCAGCCTCCTGAGTAGCTAGGACTACAGGTGTGTACCACCAAGCTCTACTCATTTTTAAATTTTCTGTAGAGACAAGGTCTCACTGTATTGCCCAGGCTGGTCTCAAACTTCCGGGCTCAAGCGATCCTCCCACCTCAGCCTCCCAAAGTGCTAGGATTATAGGCATTAGCCACCATGCCTGGCCATGTTTTACCTCTTATTTCATTCATTCATTCATCGAATGAATAATCATTGAACAGCTACTGGGTGCTAGGCATTGTTTGGGCTGTTGGTGTACATCAGTGAATAAAACGGGAAAACATCTTCATTCTCATGGAACTTCTGTTCCAACAGGGAAAGGCAGACAATCAACAATTCACCCCCATTATGTGTATAATAAATAACTAGAGCATATCATGTGTTAGGGAATGGCCAAGTGCTACAGCAAAAAGTAAAAAGAAAAAGTGGAGAGTGAGGGGGTGAGTGGGGATGTCAGTTGAAGTTTTAAACAGAATGGTCCAGGTAAGCCTCACTTTGAAGGTGATATGTGAGTCAAGACTTGAAGGAGATGAGGGAATCTGTGATGCAGATATGCAGGGGAAAGAAGAGCCAGGTGACCTTTATAGATTTTCCTTCTGTGTTATAAATTGCTGTGCTGTGCATCAAATTCTCCAGTGTAGAGGGGAAAAAAATTGCTTCCTTCCACCCTTCAGGATCTTTGGTCTACAAATTGACATAAGACAGATTAACAGAGGAAAAATAATTTTAATTACATACAGATGCATGGGAATCCCACGAGGAAGCAGCCAGATGATTGAAACTAATGTATCATCTGAGCTACAGAGAAGAATAGGGGTTTGGGGCTTCTGAGGGATGGTGAAGGCAAATTATGGGTAGGTGAGAAGAGGAAATGGATGGTGAATAAAGGTTGCCTTGGTATGCAGATTAAAGTCCCTTAGGTGATAAAAGCTGTCTCTTGGTAGCTTTCTTCCTGCTACAGATGCCTTTACTAATGAACATTAATGAGCACTTCCTTCATAAATGTAAATTTCCTTTATAAAAGGGAAAATTTATACTTTATTTTAGGCAGCTGAGGGAAAGGTAAAAGAACATTTCCTATGTTGGCTGGTTCTCAGTTTCTTTTAGCTCAAAATAATATGCCAAAGTGGCATATTTTGGAGCAACATCTTCTGAACCCCTTCACCAGCATCTCTGGATCATTCTTCCAAGCCATTCATTATCCATACCTCTCAGTGTCATACGAGAAACACATATTAAAACATGCACATGCTTCCTGGCTGTCAAAACAAATTTGGAAGAGAATGGGACTCTGTAGCAACCACTGTGAACTTCCCTTCAGAATACTAATAACCCTAGTCTTTCAACTGGATACCTCTGAAGACCATTCTCTGTGAAGTCCACGGAGAAGCTCAAGTAGGTATTGTGGGGCTCTGCAGGAGACCATGTTTATGCTCTTCCATAGCTAAAAAAAAACCTCTTACTTTTCATTATTTTTGAGTATTGACTTATTCTGAGAATGGCCTCCCTTAAACCACATCCTCATGGTTCTGCAACTCCTTTGTCCTCACCTTTGCTCCTGAGCTCCTCACTCTGTCCACATATCTACTGCTCTGCTGTCTGAGCTAATCCTAAGCTCTTTGCACAGCCACACAGATGCATGGCCTGGCAACACTCATTCCTGCCCGTCCTCTCCTACTGCCTATGCCTCTGCATCAAGATCTGGACATCTTAGGAGTGAAATCTGAAAAACCACATCACAGGTATGAAGAACAGACAATGAAAACAATTTAAAATAATTATATGGCTCTAAGTTGAGAGTGACTGGGGACTTCATTATCCCTCCTTTTCACATTCTTCAGAGAGCAGAAGCAGCTTTCAAAGCCACAGTATAATCAGCAAATCAAGCTTTCCTTTAGGCTGGCAGCCTGTGCAGGATTTAATGATGGAGGGGAGAGGACACTTACCTGCCCATTGCTCAAGCCAATAGGAAGATAATCAAGAGGCTTGATTTTAGATGACAGTGATTCCTGAGATGAATGCTCTTGATTCTTGAGTTTTTAGAAGCCCCTGACTTTGTAAGTATACAAACTATAGAAAAGGTACTATTGGACATGAACTGTCAATACTGGGGGCAAGTCCCTTATTAATAAACCACCTTAGAAGTTAGCCTGACGTATAGGAAACACTGTGCTTCCCCCACACTGAAGGTCTGGGTGTGGACTCTGTCCACTCAAAAGAACACATGCTTGATCAGTTCTACCTGTGGCTAGCAGGTAAGTACACAGAGCTGCAGATGGTCAGAATACTTGAAAAGGGGACCCAGCATCTAGACAAAAGCTCTAATTATTAATAATGTGAATAGCACTTTCAGCAGCTCAAGAACAATCCTTCAGAATGAATGAAGAAGAAATGAGAAGCTGATTGGAGTGGCTTCATTATGGGTAAGCATTCGCTTAATGTAGTCTTAGGAGGAATTCAAAAATATGCCCTTTACTAGGCTGTTACACAAATTCATTTCCTTTTTGTGAGAATACTTTGTTTTTATGTCCTTATGTTATAGCTAGCAAATATATTAATTAACATCCTGATTACACTTCTATCAAAAGGGATCATTTAGGGGAGTAGTAAGAAGTTATTAAAGAAGAAAACCCATGAAAAGTGCCCATTTTGCTACACACAATAGCAGAATTTTAGGATGATGAGTAAGGGCAAATATGTGAGAATACTAATTCAAGCACGTATAATTCCTGCCTCAATTTTCAGAATTAGAGAGTTTTGAAGTTGAAGACGATCTTACAGATCCTAATCTTATTCCTTCTCTTAGCTTAAAGGAAATTGAGGCCCAATATTACAACCTATCAGACGCCCTTTGGAAACACAAGACAACACAGGGCATACAGTCTGAGACTGACATGGTTTAGCTGTGTCTCCACCCAAATCTCAGTACTCCCATAATTTCCATGTATTGTGGGAGGGACCCGGTGGGAGAAAATTGAATCATGAGGGCAGTTTCCCCCATACTGTTCTTATGGTGGTGACTGAGTCTCACGAGATCTGACAGTTTGATAAGGGGAGGCTGTTTTGCTTGGTTCTCATTCTCTCTTTGTCTGCTGCCATCCATTTAAGATGTGACTTGCTCCTCCTTACCTTCCACCATGATTGTGAGGCCTCCCCAGCCACGTGGAACTGTACATCTTAAACCTCTTTTTCTTTATAATTTACCCAGTCTCAGGTAGGTCTTTATCAGTGGTGTGAAAATTGACTGATATAGAGACCTCATGATCCAAGCAGCCCCCGGACCTGAGGAGTCGCTGGTGGGAGAGGTCCGTGTGTCAGTTCTGCTGGAAGCACCCAAGGAAGAGATGAAATGGGTCCTGTTCTTAAGCAAATATGAAGAACAAGAAAGAAGGCTATAGCTTTGACCAGGGCTGACTAGTGAAGAAGTCTATTGCGGCTGACCCTGAGTCTACAGAGAGGAGGACTTGCCTCAGAGTGATCAGACTGTAGCACTGTGTGCTGCATACCCTAGGAGGAGGAGCTGGCATGTTAAAAAGTCAGGTATATAGATGTGTTCTTATTCTCACTCCCATCTAGGTCTTGAGCCCACTCCTGCATGGGGGAAGGGGAGGCCTGAGCTCTGTTCTTTCTCTTTCCTCATTCATATTCTCATGTACTGTCTTCTCTCTCTTGTTCTTCTGGTAGCCGCTCAACACGAGGCAAGACACTGAGGTTCAAGTTTGGGCTCAGTGAGGAGCAAAGAGACCCCATGAACCTCTAGCCCATACCTCATCTTACTCTGCACATAGCCAGCAATGACCCCAAATTTATGTATGGATACTTTAGGGACCACAGAGGGAAAAAAGGTGATTGGCAGGGCAGAGTTTATTAATATAAGGTATCCTTCTCAAATCCCATTTGGGCATGTCCAAGGACAGAGAAGCAGGTTGATGGGGCTCCCATTGGCTAAGACTGAGACAATGTGAGCACCAAAAAATAAATACATAACTAAGTAATGAATTGTAAACTGCTGAAACACAGGAAGTGGTGCATCCATATAGAAAATAAATATAGAAACAAATTGGGGGAAGGAGCTCATGTTTTCAAAAGAATGCCTAGTGCCACTGGTAAGTGCCAAAGTCAGAAAATCATTCTGCAACCATCAGGGTAAAACTGGCTCAGGCAAAAATAATCCATAACACTAAGTCTAGGGGGACATTTTGACAAAGAGCAGAGTATTTGCATGGTCTTCAAGTGTCTTCCATATATTGCTTATTAGCTGCAAGGCCAAAAAAAAAAAAAAGTAGCTATGGTAACAGCGGATAAATCAGACAAAATTCATTCTTCAGGATGATGAAAATTAACATCTCTAATGGGCAGAGTTGGACATGGTGTCCCTCCAGATGACATACCCTGACAAGGATATAACACTTCTTATGTAGTATTCCTGCCCAGAATGCATAATATCAATCTCATCATTAGGATACTTCAAAATTATGAGTGTTCTATTAAATAAGGGAGAACTATACTCTGTAATGTCATAAAAGACAAAAAAAGGCTACGGACATTTTCCAGATTAAAGAAGATCCTAGAACTCCACCTACATGTCAGTCAGGCATTTTTCCATTCTATTCTCTGTGAGAAATCAGGCTTGGGGTTAATAATAGGGTTTAGCATTCCTTACATGAATAATCTGCAGGTGGAAAATCAGTTTTTAAGATTTCACAGGCCTCTTACATAACCTAGCCCATGTTGAGGCTTGCAAAAATAAAACCAGCATTGTCCTTGAAGTTGAGCCGGTCAATCAGTCACAATCCCATTTTGCCTCTGGGCTCTGCTTCTTAACTAGTATTTTTTTCCCTGAATTGTGAATTCACAGCATTTTGACCACAGCTTTTGCTCTGTGGCAAAAATCGATTTATCCTTATAGAAAGATTTATAGTACAGAAATGTATTTATACTTATATTATTCTACCTTGGTTGATGGGTCTTTAATCTCCTTTCCAACTGAACTTTCAAAAATGTAACCCATGAGGAGATAAACAGTCCATATAATAAAAATAACTTCCTTAGCTGAGCTGGACACAACTGACTTTAATCTGAGGCCCTAGTTCATTCACAAATTAAAACTACATCAAATAAATTATATCACTTCTTCCACTTTGCATTTTAGGCTTTATTTAGATGATAGCTATTAGACATAAATGGAAACTAATCTATTTTCACATCACCCTCCCTTACCCCACAAATACACAGAACCTAAAGCTGGAAGAAACTGCTGGAACTAGATCAGACCTCTCCCCTGCCTTCCAATGACAAGATACCAAGGGCCCCACTTCAAAGATGAGGCAATCATAGCCAGCGGCTGACTTAAGGGTTTTCATGCAGTTAATGACAGAGGCAAGGTTAGGACGCTTGCTGGGCTCAGAGAAGTGTTCTCTCTACTCTTCTAAACAAATGCAGAACACATCATGAAATTACGCACTTTATGGTCTAGCTCTCTAGCTTGTCTTGCAAATCACTACTATGATTTGATGTATTTAATTTCCCACTATTTGAATAGTCCCAACACTCTCCCCATGGCAACAGAAATAAAAGTTTGTGAATTTTGTGCCAAAAGAATAGTAGAAAGAGTCACAGTGACAAAGGGCCATTGAAACAGAAGATAGTGCTATTATTATGCATTAGTTACATTTACTGGTGGTAAATCTACAAGAAGTGCATTCATGTCAGACAGTGTGGATAAAAAATAACTCTCCCCAAAGCCCCAATATCCCCAAGCACAAAAGAGGCTATGTTTATACAGCATAGTATCTTTGGAAAATAATCTCTGGCTTTGAATCCAAGACAGAAGCTGAGATTTGCTTGAGTGCATGAGGAAATGAGAAGAGAGTGATGAAAAGCTACTGTCATGAACACATTACACCTTTTAAGCAGCAAGAAATTCATTTAATAAATTGATTGAAGCCTGGAATCTAATTAAATCTTAAAGAGGTATCAACCTGAAATGCTAATAAGCTCACACTCAAACTGTATACACGGAAGCTCTGCTGTGCATGCCTTTAATAATGCATTACCTAAAGTATATTCTGTATTCATTATAGCAGTACAGCAACGTGACGTGAATTATTTCCACTCTCTACTTCGATACAAATATCTTCATGCAGGCAATCTATTTAACCACATTCCCCTTCCCAGTAAAGGTGAATGAGATGTGGCTTTCAAGGGCTGGGATCACGGTTGTAAAAAAGAAAGCTGAAACTTAGCAAGGAAGCATACGTACCTTTTATCCAGACAAACAATGAAGGGAGTATTCTTCTATCTAATTACTGGCACCCTGTGTTTAAAATAATTTGAACGTGTAAGGCTAATAATGCAAAGTACAAAATTGCGTTAGAGAAACTAAAGCTTCAATTAGTTCAGTTTCAAGTGGCAGCACATTTTCAGATAGGCACCAGCAGCAGCAGGTACTGTAATCCCACAGTTTAACTCTCCTTGAGATGTTCCAGAAAGGTGGCTGAGTTCTAAAAACTGTGCTCTATGTGTGATCTGGGAATGATTTGGGGACCAGGAGGTACAGAAGAGTTCTTTTTAGTGGTGAGCAGATGATGACATCTAGGCTTGGCTATAGATTACTGCCGGCACTCTCTTAACTGGTTTACTGCTTCTGCCTCAACACAGTACAGTGCTGTAAAACTTCTTAGCTCAAAACCCTTCCACATCTCCCCATCTAACTCAGATACAAACCAAAGAATGAACTATCGCTTACAAAGTCCACTCCCCCACCCTCGTCTCCTGCCACTCTCCTGCTCACTCCATATTCCATGACAGCCACACTGGCCTTCTTGCTATTCCTTGAGCACTTTGGGCACACTTCTGGCACTGGCTGCACCTTCTTCCTGGGACACTTCTCCAAATACCCACATGACTCCCATAATCTCCTCCAAGTCTTCATCAGATATCACCTTCTCAATGAAGCCTATGCTGATCATTCATTGACACTCAATCCTCATTATTCACAAATTGTGTATTTGCAAATTCACCTCACTAAAATTTATTTGTAACCTTAAAATCAATACTTGAGGCACTTTTGTGGCCATTCACAGACAAGTTCTGTGCAGCAAAATATGTACATCACCCAATGAAGTCTGAAGTGCTGCTGAGGACCTCAGCTGGGTGAGATCCGACAAGGCCCATGCCACCTCCATGCTTTAGCTCTCATACTAGGAGTATCCTTTCTACCACCTATTTAGTGCCTTGTTTTTCACATTTTTGTGTTTTTGGCGATTTCATTGTTAAAAGTGACCCCCAAGCACAGTAATGAAGTGCTGTCTAGCGTTGCTAAGTACTGGAAGGCTGTGATGAGCCTTATGGAGAAAACACAAGTGTTAGAAAAGCTTTATTCAAGCACAAGTTATGGTGCTGTTGGCCATGAGTTCAATGTGAATGAATTGACTACATATGGTAAAGAAGGCATCTTTAAGCAGAAACATTCAAAAAAACAAAGTTATGTATTATCAGTTGATGAGAAGTTTGTAACCAGAGGCTAGCAGGAACCTAACCCTGTATTTCCCCTAGAAGCAATGGCCCAGTGGTCATTAATTCAGTGTTTGTAAAGTGATATTAACTGTATACTGCAACCCTTCCCCCAGAACTCCAAGTCCCCCTCCTCATCCTGCTCTATTTTTGCCATAGCATTTATCACACATCCTAACACACCATATCATTCGCTTATTTATTAGGTTTGTTAATTATCTGTCTTACCAGCTGGAGAGTAAGCTATGTGAGCGTATGTGCTTTTGCCTGTTTTGTTCACTACTATATCCCCAGCACAAAGCACAGTTGCTGACACATAACAGGCACTCAACAAATATTTGTTCGATCAGTGAATGGATAGATGGATGGAGTCACAGCCTCCCCTGAAGCAGAGATCTGACAAGTGCCTTCCTAGAGGAAAAGTCCCACATGAGTGTATCCAGGAAAATAAAGGAATAAGGTGGGAATGCTCTCCTGGAGGGGAGCTATCAGGGAGAGGTCAGCTGAGCCTAAAGGGAAGCAGAGGCTGGATGGGGAACAAAGTTTACCTGCAGGCTCTGAAGCTGAACCCAGGTAGACAGCTGCCAGGTTTCTAGAGGCAGACTGTAGATGGAAAGTGCAAGACAGCAAGGGGTGCAGGATGTAACGGGCTCCAAACAGAAATGGGGGGTGCCAAGCACCATCATATTTGCATTAATCCTTAGTAACTAAAATCCCTGGTGTTGTGCCTCCTGGAATAAGCTCCATAGAGTTGCCCATGTAAGCAGCAGCTTCATTACATATCAATAGCTGCAGCTCCATGTCTTCCCTGGCAACTATTTATGGCTAGTGTTCCATTACTGGAACACGAAGCATGTGGGAGTTACTTATATCCTACTGCTCAATGTCATCGCCGAGGTCTGATTGCAAATATTCAAAAAATTGCAACCTCAGGCATAAATGGGTTAATTGCTGGCTCAACTTTGACTCCTCAGCTTGCAGTCTGTCCGTGGGATTTCAATACGGAGGTGAGGTCTCTCTCAATCCTGATTCACCTCCAGCACACTTTGGACGTTGGTGTCAGTATCCCTGGAGGGTGACTACACCTTGTTCTACCCCATATGAACTTCCAATAGCTATGTAATTCATATTGTGTCAGTTTAGTCAAAAGACACACATACACACACACACCTTTAATGCCTGAATGTCCAGTAACAAACAGAACATGAACCTTAATTTATACAGAAAGATTAAATTCTCACCTTCACCCCAGCAGGTAGGCATCATTAGCCCATTAACAGGTAGAGAAACTAAGGCTTAGATAAGTTAAGTACCTTGACCGAGGTGACAGAACTAGTAAGGACAGGATGTGACTCCGAGTCTGCTGGACTCCAAAGCTCATGCTCTATTCTCTAGACTACATCATTACATAACTCCCTTAAATGCTTTTTAAATGAATTAAAATATTGCTCTGCTTTTCCAACAACTTTATGTCAAAGTGACGTACAATTATTCAAACAAAACAATTTATTTCACTTATTTTCAGGGAATTAGTGTAATTTCATTTAGTTTTCAAGGTATCCACTGACCACAATATTTACATTTTAAAGACATGACAGTTTAAAGCTAATCACTGGTAAACTGTTACAGAAACCAACATCAAGTAAACTAGGACATGCTATTGGGAGATGACATGGTGTTGTCTCAGGTCTGCCACTCTCCTCTCTGGGCAAATCATTTAACCTAAGCTTTTATTTTTCTCATCAATAAAATGGAGATGACAAAAACAAGGCCTTCTCCGACTAATCTACTGAACCAACAAATGAGACAATAGATGTGGAAATGTTTTTAAACATTCAGGGGCTATGGAGACTCAGTGATGGTCATGCCTGTCTTGTGACACATTACTTGTCAGTATTAACTCCCTGAGGGCAGGGACTCCTCTATTCAGCTCTGTATCATATACATTTGTCAATGGTTGGCCCATAGTAGGTGCTCAATAAATACTCCTTGACCAAAGAGAATTTGGACTTTCAGGTACAATTCATTCTGAGAGGCTCTACAACAAGTCTAAATAGTCTGTAAGCGAAGTATTGATGAGAATAATCTAGACCATCCAAGAATCAAATATGAAGTTACAGAATAATCTGGGGAAAGGTCAAACGATAGGGGACACTCTGTTCAGTGTGATGCTGATAAAACTTGCCCGGGAACAGCTGACAAACTGTTTGCTACTCCTGCTGCTGGCACCTCCACCAGCCACTCAGTGGTCAGAGTACAACAGCCAAGAGATCACACTTTAAGCCCACACGGGTCAGATGGCATGACACAGATGCCACCACTCTGCAAACCCTCTCCCAGATGCTTGTCTCTCATTATGGAGGGAAGGGGTCCAGAAAAATGCTTCCCAGCACCAGAAAAACATTTCATGACACATTCCTCGGGGCCAACAGTTCCAGAGTATCCATCTAAGACTGGATAAATGGCACTTTTGAGGTGCATATATGACAAACTCACACAAGAACAGCCTGCATAGATTTCTTGAGGGCAGGTCCTGTCCCTACTTGTCATAAGGAAAATTCCTTTCTGCCTACATTATGCTGGAAAAGGGCCGAAGAGTCCCTTGTGGTCAAGGCTCCACTAGGAAGATGCTTTCACAGAGTGGGAGAGAATCACTCTCCACCTCACCTAACATCCTTCCCTCTCCTCTGAAGCACAGGCAAGAGACCTAGAACCCTTAGGCTGCTAAAGATTTTCTTAGATTCCAGAGATTCGGCCCCTCACCTTCCTATTTCACCATCCCAATAGCCAAGGACCACAGCCAAATTCCACTTATAACTCTAATTGAAGTCTTTACTCAAACCAGGAAAGGGGCTGGTCCAGTTTCTTGGTTCTACTGATAGGACTCTCACAACCAACAGCCTTGAGGAAGGAAGGCACCTAGGCCACATTTTAGTTGATCATGATTGAGCCAAAGGCAAATATTGGCAAATGATCTCGCTAAAAACTTTCGGAAAATTAAATCTGCTATCTAATAGAAAATGAAACACACAAAAAACATAACATATAAAACCAGTCCCTTGAATTTCCCTCTGGATCAATCCTATTAGAGTGAGTGACCACACAACTCAGGAGGAAATACATCTGTCTCAAATATACCACATCCCACTCTGTAGTAGGAACTCACTTGAGAAATCCTGGGGAACCTAAGATCTTAGCTCTCAGTTTTTTCATTAAAACCAGACTGCAAGAAGGGGACCTAATCCCAACTGCAACATAAATACAAGGAATCTTGGAAATATATTGCTATGACAATTACTGCTACCAATTAAGTCAGCCACCAACTAGACAAGTATTATTTGCAGATTTACATTATGATGACAATGTGTCATAAGATCTGAGCTACTGCCCCCATTACCAAGCCTCTGCAAGTCCATTTCCCTTAGTCTCCTAATGACAACCCTGTTCCCCACTCCCAGCTGAAGAACCTCGATTAAAATAATGCAGCAAGCAACCTTGCCTGACTGCCTCGCAATCACTCACTAATCACAACCCAGGCGCCACCTGTAGGATACCCACGATGTATATTTTAATTAACTTCTTAGCAAATCCTCTGTAGCCTGCAGCTAGCAAGTTTCCCAGAAATGGAATGCCTACTTGAACTTGTCATCTCTATTTCAACAGTAAGGCCATGCCCCTGATGATGCTTTCCAGAAGTCTGGTAGGTCAGCTCTCCTATGTAAATAGTCTCACAGGAAACTAGATCCCTCCCTGCAGTGGACATCAGGTGGGCAATCCTCCAAAATCCACAGAAGGATGCCTACAGGACTCGGCCAGAAACCAGGAACTGGGCATTTCTTCCTGAATGGCAGAGTCCCTCCCCTGTGGGCTTCTTACACACAAAAAGCAACTCTAGGGAAACAGTGGGAAGAAGGCAGAGAAGGGGAGAAGTCATATACAGGAAAACTAATTGGAGGCCAAATGCATCCTGTGACAACAAATGGGGCAACTCATTTTTCCCAAGTTTTTGTGGCTGTAGATCAGTTGCCTTTATATGGTTTGAGCACCTGTAAGTCGAGCTTCCCTGATTCCTTACCTCCTCCAAAGAGCTGCCCTCCAGCACCCTCCCTGCCTTAGAGCTGGTCAACAAGTTTGTTGTCACCTGTCTCTTCAGTCCTTTTGTGGTCCCATCCCCTGGTAAAGTCAGTAAAAACTCCCATTTAAGTTCTTCAGGGTCCTGGTCCCTGTGATCCATGTGAATGTAAGATATTGAATATTCAAACATATTTACAGTTACTCATGGCCATCATCCAGGCAGTCTATGGAGCCGTGGCATGTCAAGGAGGAGAAGTCCTGAGAAGTCATCTGGCCCAGTGACTCTCAAATGTTAATATGCATACACTGTTCATAGGAGATCTTGCTGAAAAGCAGATTCTGATTCCATGGGTTTTAGTTGGCAGCCAAGATCCTGAATTTCTAACAAGCTCCCAGGAGAAACTGATGTGGCTGTTCCTCAGATCTTACTTATGACACCAAGAATCTAATGCAAGGCTCTTGCTAAATACCAAAACACTGGCTGTGTTAAAGCAAAATATCAAATACAAAACAGTAAGGTATAGCAGTCCCTGGCCTCCGGAAGTTCAGTGGTATTTTGCCTGATATTAGAAGGGTCCAGAGAGTGTGCCCTATGGTACTAAAAAGCCAGCACCCAAGTCATGGAGGTTTGTAAGAGAGCTGCATAGGCTGGACTGAGGAATGAAGACTTGTTCTGCACTATTGCCAGTAAGGTGAGTGAGAGGAATTTCTAATAGAAGGTTGGAGCCAGGCTTATACACCATGCTAAAGAATAAAGCATTGTTTGCAAGCATGACAACCAGAGAATTTGTCTTAACTTTTACCCTGCAGGTAATTACAGTTTGTGGTTCTTAGCAGAAGACAAAGTATTCATCTTATTCATTAGGTAAGCAGTTGGACAGTATCAGAGAATTTGTTAGTATACCAAGAGAAAGTCTTTGAATGTCTGTACAGACAGGTGGATTAGAATAAAGATGACAGTAGGTCTGCATAGCAACACAAAACAAATGTTGTCTGTAGCTGTAATCGTCTGCAATCTCAGGACTCACAAAAAGGATAAGAAAACTTCTGCCTTTCTTCTTGGTCTAACAGGAAGAAAAAACCTATTCACCCACAGTGCTACAGAATACGCAAATTTTCACATGCTCCTCTATGAGCAAACACACTTATGGTTCAAAACCTTATTAAGAGGATTAGGATTTAAATGCAGTTAGCACATACCAGCTCTGTGATCTGGGACATATCAGTGTCTCTGATTCTCATTGATGATAATATCTAAATCCTTACTTAACAATATAATTACACAAGAATAAATAAGTTAATCCTAACAGGGATTTTTTTTTAACTAAAACAATGAATTTTGTTCTCAGCAATCCCTCATTCCTAGTGGTTGTCTGGCTGCTCACAAATTCAGAATCAAATCTAATGAGTCAAAACTTATTTTCCTCCATATTACAAAAAGAATACGCCATTCGCCCTACAAGGGCTGGGCCACAAGGCTTCCTTCCCTAAAGAAGAATATGTCATCAAGAGAGAATAGGAAGATGAAACAAAAAACCAATCCCTTGTGACACAGTGAACCATGGGAAGAAAAAGAAAGAGAAAGAAGAGGATGAAATTATTCAGTCCCATGTTCTAGCTTCCCCTGCCCTCAGGTCACCCCATGGCATCCTGAAAGGGAAGTCTGTCATGTAGGTGGAGGTAAAAACCCAATCAGAGAGGCTCTGGCTTTACTTCCTGGTTAGGACTCTGATAAACCACTCTTGCAAGATGCATCCCACAAAAACACAGGGTGATCATATCACAATAAATGTAGTTAGGCAGAGTGAAGGAGGAGGCTTGGCTGGCACTGCTAAGTCTTCCTCAGCAACCCCTGTGCAAGAAGAGATCCAGAAGTTCCTGCATTAAAGGTAGAGGGATGAAGGCCAGAAAACCAGGATAAGGTACAGCATGATGGATGGCAAGGTAAGCCTAACACAAAGTACACAGCCTTGCCAGGGCCTGGCCAGGACTCAAAAGGGTCTGCCTAGTTAATAAGAACTGGGGTGAGCTCGGCACAGTGGCTCACACCTGTAATCCCAACACTTTGGGAGGCTAAGGCAGGTGGATCGCTTGCACTCAGGAGTTCGAGACCAGTGTGGGCAGCATAGCGAGACCTCATCTCTACTAAAATTAAAAAAAAACAAAAAAAATAGCTAGTTGTGGTGGCCCACACCTGTAGTCCCAACTACTTGGGGGACTGAGGCAGGATGATCACTTGAGCCTGGGAAGTTGAGGCTGCAGTAATCCCTGATTGAGCCACTGCACTCCAACCTTAGTGACAGAGCAAGACCCTGTCTCAAAAACAAACAAACAAACAAACAAAAAAAACGGAAAAAAAAAAAAACACCTGAGGTGAGGCCAAGTTAGGAAGAAAAGAAGTGTGGACTCCAACCAGGCAAGTTCACCACATTTCCCTCCTCGTCAGACTCACTCTTATCCACTAGACTCAATAAAGAAACACAACCTCCTTCTTGGATTCTAATGCTGAGTCTTTCAATACACACAAAAATGGCAACATTTACATTTTAAAGAAACACAGAACCTGGAATGCATGCCGCTGGAGGATGGGCCCAGGAAGTCTCAGGTCAACATAGGAAATACAGACTATGGCAAAAGACAGCATTTTATGATCACCATAAAGGCACTTAGGCTGGTAGGTTAACCACTGGAAATAAAAAATTAAGTTAAACCTATATTTCAAAAATTCAATATGCCAAGCATGGTGGTGCACATCTATAGTCCCAGCTACTCAGGCGGCTGAGGCAGGAAGACCACCTGAGCCCAGAAGGTGGCGGTTGCAGTGAGCCGTGATGGCGCCACTGCAATCTAGCCTCGGCAACAGAGCGAGAGCCTGTCTCAGAAAATAAATAATTATTATTTATCTCTTCCTCAAAGGAGTGGGAATAGTGAAGGATCATGCATTCTTTCACTTAGAAAATATCGGTTTGTTAAGTGCCTACTATGTGCCAGCCCCCATGCTAGGAGGCAGGGATTCTATGGGGGGTGGTCTTTCTAAAAGCTAAAGAAAAACTGATTCAGTGGCTTGTGGATCCCCAAATTAGGAATTTCTGCCCTACGTAAAAATAAATTTTAGATGGAGTGTAGAAGATGAAGTCTCAGCTGATGACTAAAGGCAGAAATTATACAGGAAAAGAATGAGACTTAATTGCATATAAATGTGAAATTGACATATCCAAATATTCTGTAAATATTTCAGAGAAACAGAAGGTTGCACTCAGTCCTCAGAACTGAGGTGGGGCAAAAAGCAACACGACTTTGCTGAAGGGATGTCTGAATTAGAAATAAGGTAGAGCTAGCAGACCCAGAAGCTTGAAGACCAGCAGATGTAGGACAGACAATTCTCTTTTTTCATTAGCAAGGAGGACCTGACCCAGCATGAACTGAGATAAAGGAAGAGAAGAAGAGGACAGTCATCAAGGTGGCTGTGGGAAAGGAGATGCAGGAGGAGACAATGGCAGGAGAAATTAAGTCAAATTAAGTCTTTGTGGGCAGCAGGTAAAGCCTCCACTTCCTTCCTCCATCAGGGCAGCTGTTTCTGGATTGCTCTTTGTAACACAAGGATGTAAGGTAAGAACAGAAGCCCCCAGTGGCCCCACACCATTCACCCAGTCAGTGACTCAGGTTAAACTGGTGACTCCCTTTCTCCCCATCCCGTCCCCCTCGGTGCTGTAAACTGAAAACAAAACTCTGAGCCCCCCAATCAACTGAATGGACCCCTCCTCTTGGCTAAGGGGATTCAAAAGTAGACCTGAAAAACTAGTTCAGGCCATCATGGGAAGAAGGGGTTGAACATGCCTCATTATACTCTCTTCCCTTCAAAATTCAGGCACAAGTGACCAGCATTAACCTTAAAACAGAGATCTTAAGACAAAACAGACGCTTTGTGGCAATAAGATACCAAATTCCAACCTGACTCTAGTATAGCATTACATGACAGATAGCAGGCCCTGAAAGAAATTAAAGTATTTTACCCTAAAATGTATCTCTTTGACATATTTTGAAATGACCCTGCAAAGCTGTCTCTTGCAGGGGAAATTTACATTCTGTAGAGAATCCCCTTCCCTTTCCAGGTCCTTTTCTGATCTTGAAGAGATTGGCTGAGAGTTGAGCACCTTTTAAAGGTCTGAAGAGGATATATTTGCCATCTATTGCCTCTAAGAGCAGCCACTTCATCTACATAATAAGAACCTTGGTCTCTACAACCCCTTCTCTTAACCCAGACATTCCTTTCTATCGATTCTAGGTCTTTAGATAATAACTCTTTTCCCAATAGTTAATCAGAAAATCTTGAAATCCACCTATGACCTGTAAGCCCCCACTTCAAGTTGTCCTGCCTTTCCAGACCAAACCAATGTATAACTCATGTGCATTCATTGATGTGTTATATCTCCTTGAGGTATAAAACCAAGCTATAACCTAATGAACACAGGTTCTCAGGACCTCTTGAGACTGTGTCTTGGGTGTTGGTCATTCATATTTGGCTCAGAATAAACCTCTTTAAATATTTTACAGAGTTTATTTTCATCAACTGTGACACAGACTGAACCATTCCCATCACTCCCTGAACCATTTCCCTTTCTAGGGGTCAGTATGTAAGCCATAGTCATTCTCAGGTACCCCGAAATTCCAGATCCTGTCCCACAAGCCCCATACTCCAGATCACGAAGGAGAAATCTGCTTCAGTTCCATTTCACTAGAGAGACAGTAGAAGGGAGTGATCAAGAGCACAGACTCAAGAGCCATGTGCTTGGATTCAAATCGCAGCTCCACCACTCACTTGCTGTGTGATCTGAGGAGAGTTACTCCACTTCTCTATGCCTCAGTTTCATCACCTGTAGAGTGGCAAAAATAATAGTATCTACTTCACAGGGGTTTTGTAAAGATTAAATACATTGAATATATAAAAGAAATTAGAACTGTCCTTGCAGAAGTGGGAACAAGCCGTGTGGGAGGATTTTTTTTCTGAATAAATTATACTTGAGTGTGTGTGCGTGCACAAACACAGGGACAGACATTTTCAAAGCTGTAATAGCTCAAGTACCTTCTAATTGATTTTGAGATGTTATCTGATCTTATTACAGGATCAGATAATTTTACTTTCCAAAGGTGGTGAATATTTTAGATGAATTAGACTTGTTCTTAATATTTGTCCATTTCCCCGGATTATCTGTAATTACAGTAACTACTTCATAGGATACAAAATTTCAGTTAGAAGGAGTAAATTCAAGAGATCTGTCATATAATACGGTGACTAAAGTAAACAACAATGCATTGAAAATTGCTAGGAGAATTTTGTTTAAATCTGCAAAAAACTTCTCACTAAATTATTTGATATTGGAAAACAGTTACTTTTTCAGAAAAAAATGTTATATTAACATCTAATGGGCTTAATGTTATTTTAAATGAATTTAAAACATTGTTTAAAAATAACTGTCCTGGCAGAACGTAAGCATTATGTGTTCTTCGCGCTGCTGCTGCTGCTATTGCTGTTATTATTACGATTATTATTACTAGAGTTTGGGCTATTCTGAGGATGTGTTTTAGAAGGGCTTCTCTCCCAGCCTTGCATCCAGTTCCTCATCTTCCTCTGTAAGGCATTAGGATATCTCCTTTCAGCACCCCCCTCAGAAAAATCCTACCCCCAAAGATAAACAGTTGCCAAACTCCTCTCTCCTAGCCAAGTCTGAATTGAATCCCTTTTTCTTCCTTTACATTTGTAACTTTCTCCCTCATCTCTTATCTAGGATGTGGCACAACATCTGATAAAATAATGACAGTCATAAAGTAAGAAAGGCAAACACTCTTCTTTCTAGATTCCTTACAAGGCAAAGCCATTCTCAAATAAATTGCGGCAGATGTGATATGTTGGCATGTCACGTATTAATACTTAATGAGAAAAACAGGGAGATGACAGTGGAGTATCAACAAGCAGTCATGGTACAGTACACCTACAGCCACATGTCACCACATGCTGCAGAGAGAAGCCGCTCAGCTGCCAGACCTAAATACTTGGAAATCTTGCTCTTAAGACCTGGTGATCAAAATTTCAGAAGAGTGACCACCTGTCCATTCAGCATAGCTTTCCACTGAATGCTGGGCACTGAGGAGGGTGCTACGGTTACAGCATTAAACAAGAATAAGACATGATCACTGCCTTCAAAGGGCTTATATGCTGATGGGTTGCAACCAAGTAGAGTGTGACTATTACCATGAAAGGTACAGGGTTCCAGCTCCATTAGGAATTGGATACCATTTATAGTATCTCCATCTTACAGAGAAGGAAACGAAGGCACAGAGAGGTCATCAGCTAGTAAGTAGTGGAGCCAGGATTCAAACCCAGGCAGTTCAGGCTCTAGATCTGTGGCCTCAAACACTATGTTCTGGTGACTGGTGATCAACATCTTCCATCTGAAAATGTCTGGTGCTTCTTACATCAGATTGCTTCTTACTCTAAAACTCATCCAAGAGCTTGTCAATAGTAAAGGCACCCAAAAAAAATCTTCCACACAGGGAGAAAATGGAGAAGAGGACACACTATCTGTGAAGCAAAAATAAATCCAGGAAGCGAAACATAATGATGGTTCGTAAAATTTGCTTTAACTTGATAGTCCCTTTCCACTTTGATCTATGGAAGTCTATGTTTGAAGGAAAAGGAAAGGGGATTTTAAAATATGAATGTTACAAGAAAGAAAATATCTTTTGAGTTTGTTGAGATGGGACTATGAGAGAGGGGGATTGACTAAGGTAGGTACCTAAAATGTGAGGTAATATAAATGTCTAGTGGCTGGAAACTGCTTGCAAAGCTATATGAACGAATAAGAGCTCTGTGAGCAGTGAGGGAGAGGTCATACTGGGGCAGATTCAGGGGACTCCCATGCGTCTAATTTGAAATCCGTCTTTCACCTTTTGTCACTCACCTCTTCTACCTTCCATCTACTTCAACACTTAGCACCCTATCGGGTCTTTCTTTTCTGAGAAATTAAAAAACAAACAAATGGTGGGTCTGGGCACAGTGTCTCATGCCTGTAATCCCAGCACTTTGGGAGGCCAAGGTGAGAGGATTGCTTGAGGCCAGGAGTTCAAGACCAGTCTGGCCAAAACAGTAGAGACCCTTCCTCTACAAAAAATTTAAAAATTAGCCAGGTGTGGGGAGAAAAGGAGGGAGTGCATTAGGACAAATACCTAATGCATGCGGAACTTAAAACCTAGAAGTCGGGTTGATAGTTGCAGCAAACCACCATGGTACATGTATACCTATATAACAAACCTGCACATTCAGCACATGTATCCCAGAACTTTAAAAAAAAAAATTGGCTGTGTATGGTGGTGTGTGCCTCTGGTCACAGCTACTTGGGAAGCTGAGGCAGGAGGATCACCTGAGCCCAGGAGGTAGAGGCCACTATGAGCTATAATCACAAAACTGCATTCCAGCCTGGGTGACAGAGCGAGACACTGTCTCATAAATAAAACCACAAACGAACAAATGGCATAAATTTTACTCTATTTGTAATGATTATTAATCATTATTTATATAATTATGTAATGATCAGTTAATCATTTATATTTTGGTATCTCTGCAGCATGCCTGCCGTGTATCCAGTGCTTTAGTACATGATCTTACCTAACCCTTACAACAATCCAGTGAGATGAGTACTATGATCAGCCCCATTTTAATGCCTCAAGAAACTGAGGAATAAGGAGATTTGTCGGGGTGGATGTACTTTAGCACAGGGATCCTGGTGGTCATCTCCCTTCAATGTGGCTGGGGCTAACAGACAAGTAGAGGGGAACACAGGCATCATCTAGTGACAAGATGGTGTTCCTAGTTTTCATCTAACACCTCAGTCCTCCTCTCACATAAGGAAACAGACAAAAATGACAAGACCAAGGCCACTCCTCTGAAGGTCCAGCCCATACTGCTTCCACCATAGTCTCTATCTCAGAATCATCACATCTCCGGTGCAGAGCTGAAATTGAGCCTTTCATCAGCCAGTCCCATCACTGCTCACTTCCTCCCTACCCGGCCCATTAGCAGGAGGACCTCTCAGTCACCTCTGGCTTTGTTTGATTTTCAAGCAAAGAAAAAGTACTAAGAAACTACCACTTCCTGAGGACCTACTATACGCCAGGCTCGCTCAATCCTCATAGCACCCCTATGAGGCAAAGTAGTAGTATTCTCCTCAGAGATTAAAAGATTGGCCCAGAGAATTTAAATTATTTGTCCAAAGTCACATAACTAGTAGGTAGCCAGCGCTTAGTCACTAGACTGCTGCCAAAAAAAAAGCAGTATTTTATTAACAGCACCTATTTGACCTTTTCTTCTTTATGCTCACCCTATTCCAGCCTTCTACCCAACAATCCCAGTAGACATGATAATATACTTCACCAACTCCAGGACCACCATCCTGTCCTGCAACTGGTGGTTAAGCATGATTCAAAGGCAGTACTAATGCAAAGCCAGCAGTTTGTAGAACTGATTTATCATCTAACATGCTGAACCAACTCTCTACCTAGGGACCTAAATTATTCTATTGACCTAAAAGCCCATGCAATCAATGCCTCACTAAAAGAAGGTGCTCAGATTCCTCCTCATTCTCAGCCTAAAGATACTCCTATATATTAAGGTCTAGCAGCCACCAACAGCACCCAGATCCCCCTGGGATAAGCAATCATGCATGAGTTTGCCTCTGAACACCTGAAAGCATCATAATTCAAGAAATGCAGAGGGCAAGCTGTGCAGGATTCCTGAAATAATTGAAACTGACCCACAACTCACCAGCCACCATGGGAAATTCTATCGCTTTGCTTCCATAGCTAGAAATCAAATCACGAAAATAGGATCAGGTCTCTAATTTGGAGTCTTAGACATACAACGTCATCTTTAATGACTCCTGGCAAAAAATGCTCATTACAGATCTCAGCCCATCTAAATTAAAACGTGAAATCCAAAAATTAAGCAGAAAATTATCAATTTCTCAGGTCCATAAGACCCCAGAAAAATCATGCAAGCGGGAATACACGTACTCCTTGGAGTCTTGTTATATCTGTAAATAATCTGAGCAGAAATTATATGAAAAAGAAGATTTAAGAGGAAAGAAAAACAAACCCATCAGGTTCTAACTTTCAGGTTTGGGCCTTCTTGGTGAATTGCAATTTTTCACAGTCAATTTGAACTAGCATGGCAAGGAAGATTTTCTCTCTGGTAATGGCCAATTTTATCTGTTCTCTGTAGAGCTCATATTCCTCTGATACGGCAGGCTGCTGACTTCAAGTCTCTCAATGCTAAGTAGGCTGAAAGATGATGCAATCAGTCAACATGGTGTTCAGGAGGGTATGGCTCCATTAAAATGGGGGGTGGCTAAATATTCCTCTATCAGCAGTTCTAAACCTCATTCAGCGTAGATCTTTGAGAAGTTCAGGTAAGCATTAAGTCATCTCTGGAGATTGTTTTCACATTTCTTCCCTCCACTTCCCATCCACCATGCCCTTTATGTCACCATGTGAATAGCTGACATGACCCAGCAGAATAATTTGCATCACCAGCATTCACATCTGCTCATGATTAAATTTGTCTCAAACCTAAATCTAGGAAGAGAGCCATTCCCTGTCTGCAGCAATACTTCAACAGATGGCCCAGAAAAAGTAAGGTTAGCTGTTAATAGAAATTACAAATTCAAAACCTAGTTTCCTTTAACAAGCATTCTTAAAGAGAAAAGTTAGAGAATGAGACCAGGACCAGTGTCAGGGTTATGCCACCAGATACTGAACATGAAACATGGTCAACCTCCTCCTACTAGTAAAGGAGCATCTGCAAATCACACAAAAGAGACACTCTAATTGTTATTCTTTTTTTTCAATTAAAAAACTACTTCTGAGTCTTACATTGTACACTGCCTCAGAAAAAGTTCATCTCCATACCTAAATTTAACTACTTAGTATGGAATGGCCATTCTGTACAAAGACCTGTGTGTTTCTAAGTATAATTAGTAGCCTGGAAAATCCTTCAAGAAACCTAAAAATGTGGAGTGGAAAACCTACACCTATGCATGCTAAAGAAGCTAGGATAAAAGTCTAGGTCACTCCCAGGAAAGGCCCTCTTTGTTACTTTGTCACATGCCCTCAGAAACACCTCTTTTTAGAACGACATCATTCCAAGGGGTCACCCCAGAGCTTCCTCCTCAGATTAACTTTTCATTACTACTCTTTTGTCCACATTTGTCTTAAATGAGGGAGAGGAGAGACTGTTTCAGCAGCCTGGGGTCTCAACTATATGAGTCTAGTTCTAATCAAGACAGTGACAAAGGTCTTGACAGACATGTTCTCTCCACCTCTGTGGTTGATATAGAACTGAAGGTCTTCCTTGGACAAAAAAAAAATTATTAAAATAAAGGACAAGACAATCATTTTGAATATGAAATATAGTCAACTGCCGAAACTGCCTCTGGTGACACAGTGGGTTGGTATTTATGGACATGGACCCAGAAACCAGCATGTGTGCCAGGGAGTTATGGTTTTATCATGCCAGCCAATATGGGAGAAGCCTTTTAGGGGTATGTGCTTCCCAAGAAATGCAAGAGTACAAGCATTCACACTGAGTAGGCAGAGGGACTGTGCAAGGTTCACACCAGACACTTGTGACATGTTCCCAAATCATGCTGGGTCCCAACCCATTGACTCAGTAAGTGACTTTGATGAGTAAATCAAAAGTTAACAGAACCTTCCAACCAGGGTCACCTTTTCAACAAAAACCACTCCCTGGCCTTCTAGTTAGAGAGCACCTCTTTGCCAACATTCCGCAATCTTGCCATGAAAACAGGGCAACGTGTGATATTTGATGAAGTAAGGACAAATCAGAGTAACTACTCAACATTCCTTGCAATGTCATTACCTTCAAAAGAAACCCCACCTTTTGAAGGGTTTCTTTCAAAAAGAAACCTTGCAATTCCTTCCTTGAATTCCTTGCAATTCCTTGCAATTGCAATTCCTTGCAATTCCTTGCGATTCCTTGCAATTCATTCCTTGCGATTCCTTGCGATTCCTTGCAATTCCTTGCAATTCATTCCTTGCAATTCCTTGCAATTCATTCCTTGCAATTCCTTGCAATTCATTCCTTGCAATTCCTTGCAATTCATTCCTTGCAATTCCTTGCAATTCATTCCTTGCAATTCCTTGCAATTCATTCCTTGCAATTCCTTGCAATTCATTCCTTGCAATTCCTTGCAATTCATTCCTTGCAATTCCTTGCAATTCATTCCTTGCAATTCCTTGCAATTCATTCCTTGCAATTCCTTGCAATAACCATATGAAATTTCTTACTCCAAGAAGCAAACTAGACCAAAAATAAAATGTATTTAGAGAGGCTTTGATAAATTCAGCATCTGTAATAAGTTACTATGAAAAATCAGGATGTTGAGTGCTAACTACCTCCTTTTGAATGGCAACATTAGATATGGCAGTATTTATTGAGCTCTTCCCCTACCTGTGTCTTGGTTTTTTTGCCTATAGAGATGAAATTTAAGAATGAATAAGCCTGTGATCCCAACTACTGGGGGGCTGAGGCGGAAGGATCTAGCCCAGAGTTTGAGACTAGCCTGGGAAACATAGTGAGAACTTGTCTCAAAAATTAAAAAATAAAAAGGAATGAGCCACATGAATAAGGCACCGACTCCTATGGTTGTGCCAGTGCTGACCCTGAGGTTCTTCCATTAGGTTTTCAATTGCAAACTCAATCCTGTCACTTGTTACACTCTGGAAGCGATAAGAGGAACACAGCAACAAGTCCATCACGTAGAAAACAACAATCTGAAATGGCAGGGGGACTAAGGAAAAGAGACTCCACACCAACCATAAGACTATGGGTCAAAATCTAGAAAAGAAAGAAAATTTCAGAAAAAAGTATCTATCATGTCCACAGAGCATAGGAATAACACAAGTGTTAAAGCTAACATTTGTAAACATCTATTATATACCACCTGCTCTACATGCATTAGGTTATTTAATCTTCAAAACAACTCCTGGAGACAGGGATTATCTTTACTACTGTTTAAGAGATAAGAAAAATGAAACTTAGATTTAGTAAATAGTATACTGCAACACTGGCCTAACCTCCTATCCTGAGTCTATTTTTCTTAACAGTCTCACATACACTGATGTCATTTTCAAGAAAAAGAGAAAGCAATTAAATAAATCAAGATACAGTAGCCTTTCCCAGGTTAGTAAGAAACCACTTCAAACATAACCCTTTGTGCATCGGTACACAGACTCAGAAAGAAACTTTCTTATCTCACCTATCTACACAGACTAATCATAATTGTGAGAGACCCAGAAAGCATGGATTAGTCATCCTGTTAGTAGGATGAAGAAATGGATGCCAAATGCAGCTTGAGTGAGAGACAGGGAGAGGATAGTAGCCCGAACCCTTTGAGGCCGGCCCAGCCATGCTCCTCCCACTGGACATGCCTGACCAACTTTAGCAATCCCAGCGCCTGACCTCCACATCCCGGTGAAACTGAACATGGTGCTCACGCAGCGGGGGAGGGCGGGTGGAGTGAGTCCATCCAGGCGCATGAGCAGAGCAGGCACGCCAAAGAGCACCAAGTACTTCACGTAGAAAAAGAGCACCTGGGCTAACGCCAGTCCTCCTGAAAGGCAAACAGACCAGTCAGACACATGGAAGAGAATCACAGCAGTTTCCTGGAGGAGACCAACACCCCAGGAGCTATGCCAACTGCCCCGCTTCTCCCCACACCCCTTCCTCCCTTCAACTCGCACATTTCACAAAAGTATTCCACACTGGTTTTATTCAATGAAATTTTTTGGTTAACAAACAATGAAATTTCATTATTGTGACAGGCAAGAGGACCTCTTAGGAGTCATGCTTTTACAGATGCTAGGAAAGAGAATGCCCAAAATGTGTACATTGCATTAAAAAACTATTACGAAGGGGAAAATCCTTCCCAAAATCTTTTAAAACCTACATGATAATGGGTACAAAAAAAAAAAGAATAAGTTCTAGTATTTGACCGAATAACAGGGTAACTTTAGTCAATAATTAAATACACATTTTAAAATAACTAGAAGAATACAATTGGGTTATTTGTAACACAAAAGATAAACGCTTGAGGTATCAGATACCCTATTTACCCTGATGTGATTATTACACACTGAATGCCTGTATCAATTATTATGCATCGTATGCCTGTTTGCTGTATCTCACACACCTCATACATATACACATCTACTATGCACCCACAAAATTTAACAGTTAAAAAAGAAAATCTACATGAGTCTGCACCCATTAGGATAACTAGAATCGAAAAGTCAGATCAGCAAGTGTTGATGAAGATCTGGAGAAACTGGAACCACCAGGCACAGCTGCTGAGAGTGTAGAGCGAGGCAGCTGCTTTGGAAAACAGTCTGGTGGTTCCCCAAATGATTAAGCAGAGTTACATATGATCCAGCAATTCCACTCCTTGTCATATAACCAAGAGAAATGAAATGTTCACACAAAACATATGTTCACACAAAAACTTGTACCCCGATGTACACAGCAGCATTATTCACAATAGCCAAAAGAGGAGACCACCTAAACATCTGTCAACAAATGCATGGATAGACACAATGTGGTCTGTCCATACAATAGACCATAAAAAGGAATGAAATACTGATAAATGCCAAATGTGGATGAACCCTGAAAACATGAAGCTAAGTGAAACAAGCCAGTCACAAAATACCACATATTGTATTATTCCATTCATATGAAAGCCCAGAATAGGGAAATCTATAGAGACAAAGTAGACTAGTGGTTTCTTGGGGAGAGAGGGCAGCAATGAATAAAAGGTGGGGTTTCTTTTGAAGGCAATGAAAATATTCTAAAACTGGTGGTGGTGATAGGTGAATCATATCTGTAGATATACTAAAAGTCACTGAACTGTACACTTTAAATGGGTGGATTTTATGGTATGTGAGCTATCTTCCAATAAAGCTCTTTAAAAAAAAAAAAAAAAGGAAAACTCACATGAAGGCCTGAGGTCTAGTGGGGTAAGGAGGCAGTGGGTCTGCCACAGCAGTGCCCACAAGAAGGCCACAGGCCAAGCCTAGAAGGAACCTCCAGGGGAGACGATAAATGGCCACATGCTCTCTCACCTCAAGATTGCCCGCCCCACTGTGCAGAAAATTACTGCAGGACATGTCGATGTGGCAGACCAGGTTATCTTCTGGGATATTCTGAAGGAAATAACCAAGCTTCAGAGAGGTACTAGCAGAAAATACCACTGTCTGACCTCCTTGATGCTACACTAGGATCTTTGAAAGAATGTCACCATTATCGAGTGTGTGGCTATAAATGGTAACCCTGGTGCCAGAGGAAAAACATAAGCCACTTTCTGAATATACAGTTTGGGTGATGGCAGATGGTGGTTCAAATGTGAAAGCCATACATCCTACAAGGAGAAACCCCCAGGAACCGCTGCGTCTTGTTCCCATTCAGAAGTGATCAAACAGGTTCTTCAGACTTTTGGAAATCAGACTACAGTCATACCTGCTGGAAGGGCTAGGAATAAACTTTCAGCATTCTTGGACGTGCCTGATAAAGAGTCAGGAAAAAATCTGATTTGTGTGTGTGTGTGAATATATATACATGTGAATACTATCATAAAATACTTGAAGGGCATGTGATCACTCTGGGTGATAAATCAGTTTCACTGGCTGAGATGGCAATGAGGGAGGCTCGCAACTCATGCAAAATGAACCACTAGGCTCTAGCCAGAAAAATTCCACAACTAGAGATGGCAGGACATAAAAGTAAGAATGACTGATTAAAGCGCACAATGCTTCCAGAGCTGAAAATGATCCACCTGAAGAACTGAAGGTATCAATGGACCTATGGAAGACTATGCATGGTTAAGGCCGTGCCAAGCTCTTGCCTATATGAAGCACCACAGACTTCTCCCTGCTAACAGGATGCCAAATCAGGAAAAATGGGTTGCTTCATGTCTCAAGTATTGCTTTATTTTTCACATTATTTTTGTACAGTTGTCAGATTCAAGGCATATAAATTAAAATCTATGGCTGAGTCTACATTTTTATGAGTCATTATTTGCACAAAATATTCACTATTTGTTAGTACTTTCATACAGAACTGGGCAAAGGAAAAGATTGATTTTGCATAGACGATTAATAAACTCTACTGCTAAATATAATTAAAGATAAGGTAATTGGGCTTGATTTTGGGGTTTTTTTAAACCACTATGTGAATGGAAAGCACAAGAAGTCATACAAGTGCTCTATTTTCCTGTCACTGAATATTTCTTACGGCTTAAGATATGAAAGGCTTAAATAGATTTTTTTTCCTTGAAATTTTAATATCTGGTTTACAAGCTTATAGAAAAGACACAAGATTTTTAAAGCATTATTAAATTTAAAGATTAAATTACAAATAGTAATTTGTGTTAATTTTCTTTAAAAATTGTGTTTGTACCATGGATTTCACTACTCTGCTGTCTTGCTGTTGATTTTCATTATCCCTTTGAAAAATGCATGGCTCAGCCAGGCACGGTGGCTCACGCCTGTAGTCCCAGCACTTTGGGAGGCTGAGGCAGGCAGATCACAAAAGGCCAGGAGATCGAGACCATCCTGGCCAACATGGTGAAGCCCCAACTCTACTAAGTAAACACAAAAAATTTGTCGGGCATGGTGGTGCACGCTTCTAGTCCCAGCTACTCAGGAGGCTGAGGCAGGGGAATCGCTTGAACCTGGGAGGCAGAGATTGCAGCGAGCCAAGATCATGCCACTGCACTCCAGCCTGGTGACAGGGTGAGACTCTGTCTCAAAAAAGAAAAAAGAAAAATGCATGGCTCATTCTTCTTTCCCCTTGACCTAAAAATTAGTCTCTTTCCCTTTTAAGATTTGGTCTAAGTTTCAGGGTTGACCCTAAATATTTTGCCGCATTCTCTTGGGCATACAATGGGCAGGAAGGCAACATAAGACTATAAATGACTCTACTCTGATTGCAAGTTATGTGACAAATTGAACTAGCTTTTGTTATGCTCAAAAATATTACATTTTACTATTTTTCAATACTTTAACAAATATTTCTGGGTTTGTATGTATAAGATTTTCTCAATTAGCAAGAGTTATTATTGATTTTATCTAACCCAACTGCTTCCCCACAAAAAAAGCCATATATGAGTTCATGTATTACACACTCTTTTGACATTCATTCATTCAACAAGCATGTGCAGAGGGTACGGCAAATGGAATCACCAGTTATGTCCTATGAGAAATAGACTAGAGGTCAAATCGGGTGGGACCTAGCTTCAGGGGACTCATAGTTTCACTGCAGTCTCATTTATCCTTCTCTTTTACCACACAGTATTTTCTTCTGCCTTTGTGCTCTACCCCTCCTTCTTTTCTTGGCAAAATACTATGTATCCTTCAGATCCCAGCTCAAATATGGTCTCATCTCATTCACTTAACATACAGTTATTGAACATCAGCTCCTTGCCAGGCACTGAGCAATATGGTGGTGAATAAAAAGGCATGCTAACAGCCCTTATAGAGTGTTACGGTCTGTTAAAAGAGAAAAGAATGTAAATTAGGAATGAGATTAATACCCACACCCCGAGGACAGGCAACAACCTAAACGCAGAGGAACAGACACCATTCATTGAACATTTAACAAACATTCATTGTGTACATACGTGCCAAGCATGGTTCTAGGTGCTTGGAATGCATCAGTGGGTACACCTGCTTTCATGGGGCTTATACCCTAGCAAGAGTCAACAAAAAATAGGCATAAAAATAAACTTTATATTAACTTAGGAAGTATGACAGAATGACTTCCCAACAATGGCTGCAACTGTATCTTTCATCCCATATGGTCTTCTGCAATGTGACCTTGCCACTCCCCCAGCAAGAGTAAATCTGGGCAGGTCCTAGGACCAATAGATATAGAAGAAGTGATGCTGTCCTAATTCCAAAGGTGGTCTGCCATTGGCCTGGCACCTTCCACTTCCTACCCCTTGGAATGCTCAATCTTTGAACACTATCTCTTAGAACCCAGTTGTCATATAAAGAAGCCCAAGCCACACGGAGTGGCCACATGAAGATGTTCTGGTGAACAGCATCAGCTGAGCTCCCAGCTGACAGCAGCCTCAATAGCCAGCCATGTGAGAAAACCTCTTGGACATCCCGCCCAGTTACACCTTTGAAAGATGGCAACCCTGGCTGATGTCTGACTGCAACTATAGGAGAGATCCCAAGCAAGAACTACCCAGCCAAGTACAGTCAACCAACAGAACAGGGAGACAGAGGCAATCATTGTTTTAAGCTAGTAAGTTTGTAGATGGTTTGTTATTCAGCGACAGCCAACTGGGACAGAGGACAATAAATGCAATGGAAAAAGCAAAACTGTAGAACAGGGTGAGGGAGCTCAGAACTGTTGAGGTGGCAGATGCTGCCCTTTTTAAAAGGAGAGTTGGGGTGGTCTTCATCCAAATGAGAACATTTGAGCAAAAACTTGAAGGGGGTGAAGAGGTCAGCTATGCAGCCACCCTGCTTCCTCTTGGGCTCTCATCATACTCCCTTATGATCTGTCCTCTCTCATCATACTTCCTTCTTATGATCTGTCTGTCCTTATCCTATCAGACCACAGTTGTACACATGTGTGTACAGCTTAAGACCGTAGGTTCCTTAAGATCAGGAGTGGTGTCTTATACCTCTTGCATTCCCAGCACTTAATATCTGCCATATGGTTGATGTTTGATAAGCATTTCCTTAAGAAGTAACTGAATGAATAATTCACCTTATACCGCAGTAGGAAGACGAACTGTATCACAGTACTTCCGGGAAGTGTATACAGTCAGCTCTGAGGATTTTTAAGTCTCTACTGAAGTTCAGACCTGCCACCAAATCAACGAGTCTTCTGTAGGTTTGGGACCTTGTATTCCCAGTATCAAGAACATTGGTAAAAAGGAGAGAAAGAAGTCCTAGCACTAGGTTAGGTACTGCCTTGAAGTTACTAAATGTGTAGTTAATTCTGCCTAACAACGGGCCACTTCCAAACGGGCCATCTTAAACTCAGCTCATCAAAAACAGAATTTAGCTTCTCCCCCTGAAAACTATAAATGGCACAGATTTTCAAGACAAAAGGAGATGAATGTCAAATTCTACAAGACTTCTAGGAGGGCTAGAGAAAAGATCCCAACTAGCTCCCCTAGAATTTAGTCCTTCCCAGATTGACATACATACCTACCCAGCCCTTCTTTGTGTTTAATCTTGCCTTGTCATAATTTTAACTAAAAATGAAGAAGCTAGTGATTGGATCCCATGTGGCTGATCACCCTCCTCTCAGCTCTATTCCACAAATGAGCGGCTAAAAATCTCACGCTGAAAGGTGGAGGGAATGGGAAGGAGAAGCCAAGGCCAAGCCCAATCTATTTTTCCTGCCCTGACATTCCTGTCCTCATTGAACCACTCATTTTATCCAATTATTCCCTTCACTTTCTCTTTGCTCACACTCAATTTCTCTGCCTAGAGGTCCCCTTCCTCCATTTTGTCTGTCAAAACTCTACCCTTAAGGGTAGAGTTACCCTTAAAGTGCCATTACCCATCTAAGTGCCATATTTCTTAAAGTTTTTCTAACTGCCCCAGCTAAAATAGTCACATGGTACTTTCCAAGTACATAATGTGGTTCAGCTTTCTGTATAGTCTAGTTATCTATAAGATCGGAAGGGCAATGATCACAGCTTTCTTCTTTAATTTCATCTCCTTAGCACCAACCAGTGCCTGGCACATAACACAAAACAAGCAATGAGTATTTGCTGAACAAATGAATGGAATGAAAGAATGAATGCACTTTCATGTATATTATCCCACTGTTAATTTTTACTACCCTATCCCACAAGTATTGCCCCCATATATCATATTAGAAAGCAAAGATTGATTAGGATTAAGTGACCTTCACAAGCCTCAGAGTCAATCCACACTTGGGACTTTAACCCAGGTCTCTTGGCTCCAAAATCAATGGCATCTTCTCCAAAGGCCATGCTTCCAAAAGTACCTTCTCTACATATAAATTTTTAGATTTTTAAAAAATGTTTTACTTATATGATTTCAATTCTAGTATTCTATTATCTGTATCACACATGAGGAAGTGCAACTAACATTTCTACTACTCATTACCTTACAGGTCTTTTTGTACTTGCTGATATTGTCTGCCAGATTACAGGATGCCCAAAGCCCATCCCCACATGGCTGAACATCAGGACCTCCAAGCAACAGGCACACAACACAGAGTAGCATGTCCAGTGAACCTTGTTAATGATCAGAAGATCTTCCCGGGGGTAAACACAAGGGTCTGAGTAGTATGAGATCACCTTTTGAATTGTTAATTCCCCCACAGACCTGGAGAACAACTCACCAACTGCCTCATGAAAATTCATGAGCAACAGAAAGAATCCAGTTGTGTCTTGTGCCAGCGTTTGCCAGGATTGGAGAGAGGTGCCCCTTAGCTCTGTGGGCTGGCTGCAGAGCTGCCATCTTTGCATGTTTGACCCCTGCCTTCCGAATCTCATCGTGTGTGTCAGGCACTGGCTCCCAATTCCCTCAGCTTCAGGAAGCATGCTCTATCTGCGTGTACCAGCTTATGCCCCTGTGTCAGTCCGTGGCCTGACCTCTCGTCTGGACATTTTCTGTTCCAAGTCCCTCTAATAACTTTTACTTTGTCCACATCAAACCTACTCTAGATTTTGCTTAACTTTTTTTTGTGATTAAAGCTTTGTAGCTTCAAGAAGCTTAGACTTTTTTTTAATAAGTTTTTTCTCATATGAGGTTATTTATAAGAACCTCTCATATATAAGATGTGGGGTAAGTACTGGAAATATAAAGACGAATCAAGAATAATACAGACCAGGAACCTCAACATAAGGTGGAAGTGCTACAACAGAGACTTGGAGATTTTCTCTCCCCGCCGGGGGTGAAGGAGGAAGAGAAACTAATGTCCTGAGGTGGTCAACCCACCAGTGCTCAGAGTCATCATGATGGCTCTGCAGACACACTGAACAAAAGGTAGCTATTGCCCCACAGGAGTTCTGTAACGTGCTTGGTCAGGAGGAGATGGATCAGCACCCAGAAAACCAAAGTCAGTAAATGTGACTGGTAGGGGAAGGGAGTGAGGTCATGGGCAGAACTGAGGAACAGCTGCCACATACTCCAGAGCAGCAAGTGCTACAGCCCAGAAGGAAGAGCAGCGTGTGGGGGAGAGGTACCAGGGACACCTCACGTGAAGCTTGACCGGCCAGAGGGGCTAAAGAAGCAAAAGGAATTCAGTCATCTCTAGCATTGAATTCTGGAAATGAATGACTACAGCAACTGGTGTCATTTCAATTCAACCTAAACCTCTAGAGCTAGAAGCAGCCCCACCAGGGAGAAGCTAGTGTCCCCACTTCTGAGCTCAACAGTGTCATTGGCCTGCTGAAGGACAAATGGTCAGAAACCAGTAGCTCAGACTCATCCACTAGGAGATCCTAAGCTGAATCTCTGACCAAGAGGGACAGACACATGTAATCTACCTGCCTGTGCACGGTCTATATCACAAAATCCCCTACTCATAGTACAGCAATAATATGCTCTAAACAATTGGTTGTGCATGTTGATGGCAAGGCCATGCACATCCGGTAGTTGACCCTCTGGTGCTCAAAAAGGGGGTGGTCCCAGGAACCCGCTGCATCTGGCTGGTGAGCAGTTCACAGAAGAGGCTTTAGGGCTGCTTCCAGGAAATGCAAAGACTGAGTATTCAGAGTAAGTAAGACCAAACCAGGGAGAGAGGGGAGACAGAAAGGGGAAAAAAGGCAACGAGTCAGAAGCTGGAGGAACATTAATCACATCCCTAAAACTAGAAACGAACAAAGCAGATGTTGGTAAAATGAAGCAAGAACAGACTTGAGTGGATTAGAGAGTGATTTGGGGCTATAAACTTCTGGCTGCATAATTCCTTTCTGCGTGAAGGCACAAAACAATACAAAGAGGCCAGGCTGTGCTCCTTGGGTCCATCAACAGGCCTGGAGGGACAGCAGCCAAACAGAAGGGGACAAAGCCAAAACCTGGTGCTCTCCTGATGAGAGCTATGGCAGAGCTTTGCACTCTCCTCTACCTACAGTTGCTAAAGTGGGATCTACACACCCTTCAGGCGTGGCTTCTCAGACAGTTCCATCTCGTCTCTCATGGGCCTTATTATTTACCAATATCCATGTAAAACAATAATCACACAAACAGTAAAAGCATAAACAGATACAGAATAATAAAAATACCAAATTCAGGATAGTGGCTGCCATTTAGGGGCAGGGTGGGAAACACAATCAGGAGGGAACCCAATCAGGTTTCAACTATGTTGTAATATTTTATTTCTTAAACTAAGGATGGAGAAACCAGTGTTTGCTCCATTCTCTCTGTGGTGAGAACTACTATTACTCCCCATTTTACAGATAGGAACCTGGGCACAGAAAGGTTACAAAATTTGCCTAAGATCACACAGTAACAAGTGGCAGGGTCGGAACTTGAATCGGGTCAGCTGTCTCCAAGTCACCACGTTTACTAGATTCACACAAAACTGAGGCCAGACGTGGAACAGAGCCTGTGTGAAGCTGACCAGGGAGTTGTTAAAGGGAGCTGACAGAGGTTATTTCAAGCAGGAAACAAAGAAACAAACCAAAAAAACAAAGGGAACGAGCTCTAAAGGTCCTCAGAAAATCCAGCCTCAAAGAGCACAACGTATGCAAAGGTATTTGAAATCAAATGAGGGTGCGGTGTGTTGTGGTGAGCAACTCCAGATGAACAGATTTGCTCTTTGAGTTGTTTCAAGCTAACTAATACCAGGTCAAAGAAGCACAGGCACAATGAGAGATACCTTTTTCTGCTATAAAGGGCAGGTAACGTGAAAGACAGGGACAAGAAGACAGGCACTTAGTGTGCCAAGGACCATCAATCTCGGGAAGCCTTTCAGCTGCTCCCAGAGGTGGTCTCGGTCAAGGTCAAGAGTCAGCCCCAGAAAGAGCTTCAACAGCTGCATGAAAATTGCCTCCTGGCCTCCCATCAGCCTCCCCTGCTTTGTCCTTAAATGAGAGGAGCCAGTGATCTGTAGAAAGGGCTCTACACTGGGCAACCATGAACTAACACTCTCCCAGGTAACTGTTTCTTCTTTTTCTTTAACACCAAACTGATCCTTTCAAGGTCACAATGAGTGGTTATTAACTTGGAAACCCAAGAGAGAGTTGACTTCCCAGAGTGACTATTCTTTGAACATGTTAGACATGGAAAAATTTGGTTTTGGAAAATTGCTTCTTAACGGGCTCAAACCACCAAAATGTCCCTCTTTAAAGGAAAGATGTGTTGCTGGAGGACACAATTTACCTAGGTAGAATATTAAATCCTATTTGCCCATCTTGTTCCTCAGGATATCACCTGCTGACATCTTGTACTTGATTCAAGAAATGCAGGGAAGAAGATCCCACACAGCAGAAGCAAAGTAATACTCCACACACATAGCCAGGCAAGACTTAATGAAATAATGTGGGACAAGAAGGGAGCTTTTTTTTGAGACAAAGTCTCATTCTGTCACCCAGACTGGAGTGCAGTGGCACGATCTCGGCTTACTGCAAGCTCCACCTCCCAGGTTCATGCCATTCTCCTGCCTCAGATTCTCAAGTAGCTGGGACTACAGGCACCCGCCACCACGCCCGGCTAATTTTTTTGTATTTTTATTAGAGACAGGGTTTCACCATGTTCACCAGGATGGTCTCAATCTCCTGACCTTGTGATCTGCCCACCTCGGCCTCCCGAAGTGCTGGGATTACAGGCGTGAGTCACCGTGCCCGGCCGAAGGGAGCTTTACACAGGGCAAAATGTCTGAAAATTCTAAAAAGCACATTTTCAGGCAGAGTCCATGATATGGTTTGGCTGTGTCCCCACCCAAATCTCAACTTAAATTATATCTCCCAGAATTCCCATGTGTTGCAGGAGGAACCCAGCGGGAGGTAAATGAATCACGGGGGCCAGTCTTTCCCACGCTATTCTCGTGATAGTAAGTCTCACAAGATCTGATGGGTTTAACAGGGGTTTCTGCTTTTGCTTCTTCCTCATTTCTCTCTTGTCACCGCCATGTAAGAAGTACCTTTCACCTCCCTCTGTGATTCTGAGGCCTCCCCAGCCATGTGAAACTGTAAGTCCAATTAAACCTCTTTTTATTGCCAGTTTCGGGTATGTCTTTATCAGCTGTGTGAAAACAAACTAATACAGTCCATCACTCACTTTGCCTAAAAGAAGTGCTCTGTAAAATCTATGTGTAGACTGAATTGGAAATTAACTACTAATTAAAGGATTCTATTGCAAATCCTTCAAAAAAGTAAAGAATCCCTTTAGAAAGCAAATAATTACCCCCCTCAAAGTATCCAACAAATTCAGATTTCCATATGTCAACCTGGTTTAAAAGAAACATACAAGTATTTTCTGCATCTAAGAAGTTGTCCGTACACCAAGTTACCTCAGCACAATAATGAGTTAGTTAAGAATGAACAAAGATCATGGTATTCTGAGGGGACTATGGGGGAAGGAGAGAAAGGGGGAAAGGGAAGGCACGGAATAGGGGGTATTTTAAATAACTGTGCTGCAACTTGCTACATTTCAGTATATATTTATAACAGCACATCAAGCAGGCATCTCTTCCATTCTGCAAGCATGCACCATGAAATTATCTTCACACTACATAGAATATCTGTAATTGAACAGTCAAGTTCCAGAGTAGTAAATCCCAGAGTAGCTTTAGGTTTACACTGCATTAATTTTAAATAACCTTAGGATTCTAATCCAAGAAGAAAATTTATAAAAATTTTTTCTACTGTATCTTAACGAACCTTAGAATGTTTAATGCCTCAAAAGAGGGGAAAAAGAAAGGAATCTTATGCTAACTGATATATGTTTGTCTCCCCAGCTTTCAAAACAAGGATCAGACGTCAAATGTCTTATCCCTTTCCTCTCACTGTTATGTTGTAGAATGAGAAAAAGCAAATGGATAACTTTGCTGGCATTTCATTACCATTTAGATAGGTGCACAGGCGTTATTTCAACAACAGTTGGTACTTAAACACTGAGCTAAAAAACTCTGATTACTTACACTTAGACAGGTTTTTAATCTCCAATCAGTGAACAATTAAGTCTTTCAAAAAGGACTCTAATGTACATTCCACAAAGCTTTATTATAAACTTTGCCATGTAAGAACAACCAACTTTCAATTATTTTCACTTTTCTATCTCCTCGCTCACTCTCAAATCCCTTGCTAAAGCTCTCTTTTCTCCCATAAACTCATATACCTGGATTTACCATGGATTTACCATAGAGAAGCACCATTCAATAATAAATTGAAGAAATATTACCTTTCTGAGCTCTTTTAAAGAAAAACCTCAAGTCACTGTCTTTGCTCCTCTTAATCCTAGGCTCTGCCTAGTTAGGGTATAGCTCCACTCTGCCATGTTCTGTTTTCTTAGAAGATTCTGAAGTTCAAAAGAATATAACAGTTCTTATCTTTTAGAGATACTACCGAAATATTCATAGATAATAAGATATCTGGGATTTGCTTCAAAACAATACGGGAGAGAGTACAGATGAAAGAAAACTGGCCAGGAGTTGATAATTGTTGAACCTGGGAGATGAATACATTAGGGTTAATTCTACATTTATGCTTTTAATTTTCCAGAATGCAATATTCTAAAAGGGGAGGCACTGAGAGCCCCCACCTGAACCCTAAATATTCAACTTCCTCCTCACTACCAATTGAATGCATGTGCAGGGGGCAATGAGCAAAATGGGCTTATCTCAGCACAATCCCACCTCCTTGCTCAGCCTTTGTGCATAGAAAGCATGAAAAATAGAAAAATGGAGAGGCGAATTATGGGAGGGAGAAGGGGGAGAATGCCAAGGATCAGAATAATGAATTAGCTTATCAGTCCTTAGATCGCTGGGAATTGGCAGTCTATGAAGAAGAATATCTTTCTATAACAAGATGCCCCATGGTGATCTTTAGCAATTACAACAGCACTTCTGAAATTCATCTGGTCCTAAACACCTTCTGGGATAATAATCACAGAGAATCCTAGCCTCTCCTTGAAAGATTCTGTTTAGTATCTGAGCCAGAGATCTGAAATCTCTATATAAAACAAGCACTAGAAAATTATGCCCAGTCAAGTTTTAGAGATCTAGGTTACAAGTTCCATACCCTACTTTCTTTTCCCATTTTTTAAAAGATATATCATGTTTTGGGAGGCTGAGCCAGGAAGATCACTGGAGACCAAGAGTTGGAGACCAGCCTGGGCAACATAGCAAAACCATGTCTCTATAAAAAATTTAAAAATTAGTCAGGCATGGTAATGCATGCCCACAGTCATAGCTACTTGAGAGGCTGAGGTGGGAGGATCACCTGATCCCAAGAGTTCAAGGGTGTAGTTAGCTATGATCGTACCACTGCACCTCAGCCTAGGTAACAGGGTGAAACCCTGTCTCTAAATAAATAAATATAAATATAAAAAGATATTTCAAAGTGTAAATAGCAGTTTTCTTGGAAAAATAGAAATTACCTTTCTGTTGTTTTAATTTTCCAAATACTAATTTCATTAATATTTTCTGATTTTCAGGTATAGAAAAGAAAAAAAGTCACCTTTCTCGTTCAGTTTGTTCTGTGGCAGAATTTCAAAGGTAATGTTCCAAATTCATTCTGACATTCATCACTGAGTTATCCAAAAAGAGAACATGCAGGGAATTTCAAAGAGAAATCTTATGCCACAGAAGTGACCTTTCATTTTATTAGCTAAAGACTGCTATCATTTTGATAAGCACAACTTAGTTGTGAAGAAACAATGCTCTGCTAGTCTGAGAGCAAAGATCAGCGGCGACCCAGACCCAATCTAATACTCCCTACCAGAGAAACCAAGCTCCAAGCTTCTCTGCAGAGTTCTGCTAAAAATACTTCCACAAATAGTGCTACAAACAACTTTTTTTTTTTTTTTTTTTTTGGAGATGGAGTCTCGCTCTGTTGCCCAGGCTGGAGCGCAGTGGCATGATCTCGGCTCACTGCAAGCTCCACCTCCCGGGTTCACACCATTCTCCTGCCTCAGCCTCCCAAGTAGCTGGGACTACAGGTGCCCACCACCACACCCGGCTAATTTTTGTTTTTGTATTTTTAGTAGAGACGGGGTTTCACCGTGTTAGCCAGGATGGTCTCGATCTCCTGACCTCGTGATCTGCCCGCACTTTTAACAAAACTTAACACCACCCTATCCCATAGTGTAGGAAGTAGAAGAGAAAAAACGTTACTGCCAGTTATCAAAGCTCCCTCAAAAGATAAATCCTCAGCTAATTTTCAAATTTGCTAGCATTCCAGGGGAAAGCTGTTTGTACATTTTATCTATATATTTATTTAATATGTAGATTCATTATAAAATGTGCCCTCTGCTATTGTCACAGTCCTTGGGGTATGTAAAAAAAAAAAAAAAGATTTACAATGTACCAATTATAAAAGATATGGCCAGGTGCGGTAGCTCATGCCACTGCACTACAGCCTGGGCAACAGAGCAAGACTCCATCTCAAAAAAAATTTTTTTAAAAATAAGATACAAAATAATTTTTTAATCCTTCAGAATAGGAAAGTTGCACTCAGAACATCTTCCCTTTCACAGAAGAAATGTTTGAAAAGCAGGATGTATCCAAGGCTCCAGTGATCTATGCAGATCTTCCATACATTTTCCCCAGTTGGCACCCTTCCCAATAGCTTTAATGGCCATATCCTCACTGTTTCCCACCCCCCCCACCTGAGACGCAGTCTTGCTCTGTCGCCCAGGCTGGAGTGCAGTGGCGCAATCTTGGCTCACTGCAACCTCTGCCTCCCAGGTTGAAGCAATTCTCCTCCCTCAGCCTCCCAAGTAGCTGGAATTACAGGCGTCCACCATCATGCCCCGCTAATTTTTGTAGTTTTAGTAGAGATGGGGTTCACCATGTTGGCCAGGCTGGCTTTGAACTCCTGACCTTGTGATCCAACCACCTCGGCCTCCCAAAGTGCAGGATAACAGGGGTGAGCCACCACGCCAAGCCCATATTCTCACTGTTGAATCCCAAATACGTATCGCTAACTTTGATATTTCCCCCGAATTCCAGAACTGTGGATGCATCCTCCCTCTGGAAATCTCCACTTCCTCTCTGTCCCTGTGGCCCGACACAGCACCTGGCACCCAACATTTAGAGAGCGAATTAGCGAGTAGAAATTTCTTTATGGAGACCTAATGAAACTTTGATGAACTGATGTGAATTAAATGACCATCACTTTTTCAATGATCACAGTTACATTTGAGGAAGGTCAGCACTTACATAACTCACAATCATCTAGCCCGTCTAGCCTCCCTTAATATGCCCTGTGTCACAAAATTAGTAACAGTTTAGGACTGGAACACTCAGCTTCTCTCTCCCAATGAAAAGTAATTCATTACAGCCATGAAGGAGCAGAGGGAGGCTCCCTCTAAACCTGAGGACTCAGGGGAAGCAGCTCAGAAGTGAGATGTTTTGGAGGAATTAACTAGGTAAAGAAAACCTGAAGCAATGGCATAGACAAAGCATGAAGAAATGAACCATCCCAGCGCAGCTGGGGAGGAAAAAGTGTAGACGGGAATGGTGATGCAACTTCAGCGACGGGAAAGGCATGATCAGAAAGGGTCACACTCGTCAGCCACGAAGCACGACTTTATAGAGGAAGACCTGGGAAATCAAATAAGAAAATTATATGATTTATTTTGTGTTTTTGAAAGATTGGTCTGTTTAGAAAAAAAAAAAAAGTAGAGGATGAGCTTTGTTCCTAAGGGGGGAAAAGGCAGAAAAAGGAGCTAGATAGAGAAGACAGAACAGCATGGCCAGAGGCCAGAGTCTGAGTGTCAGACATGGCAGAGGGACCCGGGAGGTCCGACCACCAATTTTAAGCTGCTTGTGGAATTGTCTCCTAAACCTTTATTAAAGTCCTCTAACACACGCTGCATCTAAATGATTTTTGTTGGTGGTTGTGTGTGTCATGCATGGTGTGTGTGTACAAATTAAGAAAAATAGCCAAATGCCACATGAGAGCCAGGGTGATGTTCAGTGGGGACAGTGATATGATCCCCAAACAGAACCAATTCCATGTATGCATGAGGTGAGGGACAGAAGCGGTTCAGGAATAAATGTCTCAGGACAGCACTGAGCCCCGCTCCATCTAGGGAATAGAGAGTCAGGTCCACCTTATCTAGAAATTAAGGGGCTGGGAGACCCTCACTGCTGAAATCCACTGACAATCCAACCTACAGCCTATATATAAAAACATGTTCTACATAAAATCTGAAAACTAGAGTAAGTTGAGAATTTTTTTAATTTCACAGGAAAATTTAATGAAAAACAGTTTAAAGTAAGATTCAGGGAAATCATGAAAGCTGGGATGAGAATGGCTACTTTGGTAGACTCTCTCTCTCTGGTCTAGAAGCAACACCCATCCTGCCTCCTCCAATCTCAATACTTCGTAAATTGCCCTGGAGAGGCTGAATATTAGGCTAATTTGGTCTAATTTGAATTGCTTAAATGACTAGCTATCTTTTACTGCCACCTCCTGGCCCCTTCTAGTATGTCTACCCTAAACTATTACGCTAAGACTGATAAACCCTCATATGCACACACAAAATACCAATTACATTCAAGAATCTCTTAATTGCTGGGTGCAGTGGCTCACGTCTGTAATCCCAACACTTTGGGAAACTGAGGTGTGCAGATCACCTGAGGTCAGGAGTTCAAGACCAGCCTGGCCAACATAGTGAAACCCCGTCTCTACTAAAAATACAAAAATTAGCCAGGCATGGTGGCAGGCGCCTGCAGTCCCAGCTACTCAGGCAGCTGAGCCAGGAGAATCACTTGAACCAGGAAGGCAGAGGTTGCAGTGAGTACTGAGATCGAGCTACCGCATTACAGGCTGAGTGACAGAACGAGACTTCATCTCAAAAAAAAAAAAAAAAGAACCTCTAACCAAATAAACTGTCAAATTAAACTATCACCACATTGCAGATGGAAAGTTATGCTACCGAGTGGGAGTCCCTGATCGAGGCAGCTGGTCATCCAGCCACATCCCCTTCAAGGTGGCTGTACACTGACAGTCACCTCAGCCAGGGTCTGGGTCCTCCGCTTTGTGGGTCAGGAGCCTCATCTGTCAGCACCCTGAGACAGATCTGTGTCTAGGGGTAGACACACATTAACCCAGCTCATAGAGACAGATCTATATTACCAGAATGTGGGGCCTCGTATCTTCTCTAAGTCAGCCACATAAGAAGTCAAATTATGCACTCAGAGAGCTTGGTGAGAAAGAAATCAGGGCCAGGACACTGGCCCTGGTTCAAGAACCTGGATCTTCAGTGACTTCAAGCTCTGAAAGCTGGAGGCACCTGTCTCCTCCACAGGGATATTCTGCCACCTGACATGACAAAGCAAATTGCTGAACCAGGACATCTTTCCTCAGCCAATGCTTGACTGGGAATTGTCAGGATTTGCCTTTTGGATGTTTCCTTGTCTAATTCTGACTAAACCAACTCCCTTTCTGATCGGCAAAATCTTTCCAAGGGTATGATTAAAGCCTCCAATTAAATTATCCTCAATCAAGTGCGCACCAAAATACATGTTTCTAATCCATCGTGCACTGATATAAAAGTCTTCTCTCTGTAGTGGGCTGTATTTTCCCTTTTTCCAAGCTTTGGAAGCACCCTATGGTAGTCTCCTGTAATTACTTGTAATAAACCAGTAGAGATAATGTCCATTTGTTGAAAAGCTTACAGACAGCTTGCACATCTACTGTCACAGCTATTCCTCTCAACCACCATATGAGGTTCTCTGTGTAAGTACTATGATTCTTATTTTACAGATAAGTACACTGAGATTCAGAGATGATAAGTGGTTTTCCCAACGTCACAGAATTAGTGGATATGGGGTTAAGACTAAAGCTCAGATCTTCAGACCCCAAATGAGTCTATTGAGGATACTTGCTTTTAACAACCTATAAAGGGGTTTAGCCTGACCCGCTGCACTACTCATATATTCAACAAATATTTATGGAGTGTCAATTATTAGCTATCTATTGTTTTAGGCAGTGGGGACACCATGACAAACAAGTTCACTAAGGTTCCTATGTCCATGGAACATAGACTCTGGGATGGAAGGCAGACAAAAGAGGAAAATTTCACATGGCAATGAGTCCTACGCACAGAAAAAAATCTGGTGATGCAGAACGCTGGTTGTCTGTTTCTCTTTGAGTCACCAAGGACAGCTTCTTTGGGGCAATGACATTTAAGCAGAGATGGGAATGACAGGAAGTCATATGATGACGAAAGGCAAGAGCATTCTAAGATGAAGGAACAGCTCATAAAAGCGCCCTGCGGTGGCACCATGCTTGCTCTTTCTGAAGATGAGCAGGAAGCCCACAGTGCAGGAGCACAGAGGCCGGGGCAAGGGTGGGAGGAGATGAGTCACGGTGGCAGGTGCCGGACCACGTGGTGTTTTGTTAAGGAGGATCAGACTGGCTTTATTCTAAGCTCAATGAAAAGCCAGCACACAACTGCAGAAACATTCTGCTTTTTAACAAGGTCACATCATTGTAGAGCAAGTTTTACACCCCACAATCCCAAAGTCCTGATCGTCCCATTATTCCTAGCATCCAGTGATTGGTATCTTGGTTAATATGGTATTTTTTCCATAAACAGGAAGAACATATTTGAAAGGCTTCAAACAATAATCTTTCAAGAAGAAAAGTTTCTGCTATCTAAAAACTCATATATATAAGCGGTAGGTTCATAACCTCAATACTCAGGCAATCTGACCTCCAAGAAGCCCTGTAAGGCTCCCGTGAGGCCCCAGTTGTCTTTTGGGAAAGCTCAGTTCCAAAAGGCTGGGGACGAGGCCAGAGTTCCACACCCTCGCCCACCCGACAAGAGAATCTCCCACAGGCTCCGCCCTTTGCGCTCTTCCCACAGTTGGCTGCTTAGATGGCCCCTGACTGCAGCTTGCTCCATATTCAAAGATAGAGCCTGGGGGAGGGATAGCATTAGGAGATATATCTAATGTTAAATGATGAGTTAATGGATGCAGCACACCAACATGGCACATGAATACATATGTAACTAACCTGCACGTTGTGCACATGTACCCTAAAACTTACAGAATTAAAAAAAAAAAAGAGCCTGTAACTGTCCAAGAGCAAAGGAATGTTCACAAGCACCCTAAGAGGATAGCAGGGAAGGAGAATCCAGAAAATAGAGAAGGGTGGGGCAGGTGGCAGGAGATGTCTAGCCTTCTAAATAGAAATCAATTGCATTAACAAAAAATCAGTCCACCACCAACCACCTCTCTCAAACACTGCTGATGTCAACAAAGAAAAATGACACTACCTTCCCTCAAGTCTGGTTTGGCAATGAGTTGCAAAAGCCTTTGACCTAGGAAATTACCCTGAGGAAATCATCCCAGGTGAATTTTAAAAGGGTTATGTAAATATGTTCACTAAAGCCTTATTTATAATGAGGCAAAATTTTAAATAATCAACAACAGAGAATTGGTTAACTAAATTACAGTAAAGCCATAGAAAGGAATACCTTAAAACTAGTAAAAAATATACTCTAAAAGAATGAAATTTAAAAGATTATTTCACCACATGAGGAAAAGTTCATAATACGGTAAGCTTTCAAAGTAGGTTGAAAGCTCTGAAGCCAAGGTGACCTTTTAAAAGGAAAAAAAGAAAATAGTCTGTAAAGAACATAGGGCTTGCAAATCCTTGTAGATTATCTGGACAAAATGCAGAAGGCAAATAGTAAAGGCAGAGGGGGCTAGGGAGAGATACTAGCACAATTCTATTTTATATTCTCCGCACTATTATGCTCACTAGTCAACAAGTGACCACTGTTTGAAACTCGTTTGTGTGTTGGTTGGGCACAGTAGCTCATGCCTGTAATCCCAGCACTTTGGGAGGCCGAGTCAGGCAGATCACACAGTCAGGAGTTCAAGACCAGCCTGACCAACATGGTGAAACCCCGTCTCTACTAAAAATACAAAAATTAGCTGGGTGTGATGGTGCATACCTGTAATCCCATCTACTCAGGAGGCTAAGGCAGGAGAATCGCTTGAACCCAGGAGACGGAGGTTGCAGTGAGCCGAGATCGTGCCACTGCACTCCAGCCTGGGCAACAGAGTGAGACTCTGTCTCAGGAGAAAGAAAAACAAAAAAACCTCATTTGTGTGTTATATATCGGCTGGGCATGGTGGTTCACGTCTGTAAACTCAGCACTTTGGGAGGCTGAGGTGGAAGGATTGCTCAAATCCAGGAGTTTGAGGCCAGCCTGGGCAAAATAGTGACACCCAGTCTCTATTTAAAAATGTGTGTGTGTGCAGAAATACAAACTACCATCAGAGAATACTACAAACACCTCTACGCAATTAAACTAGAAAATCTAGAAGAAATGGATAAATTCCTGGACACATACACTCTCCCAAGACTAAACCAGGAAGAAGTTGAATCTCTGAATAGACCAATAACAGGAGCTGAAATTGTGGCAATAATCAATAGCTTACCAACCAAAAAGAGTCCAGGACCAGATGGCTTCACAGCCGAATTCTACCAGAGGTACAAGGAGGAACTGGTACCATTCCTTCTGAAACTATTCCAATCAATAGAAAAAGAGGGAATCCTCCTTAACTCATTTTATGAGGCCAGCATCATTCTGATACCAAAGCGAGGCAGAGACACAACAAAAAAAGAGAATTTTAGACCAATATCCTTGATGAACATTGATGCAAAAATCCTCAATAAAATACTGGCAAAACGAATCCAGCAGCACATCAAAAAGCTTATCCACCATGATCAAGTGGGCTTCATCCCTGGGATGCAAGGCTGGTTCAATATACGCAAATCAATAAATGTAATCCAGCATATAAACAGAGCCAAAGACAAAAACCACATGATTATCTCAATAGATGCAGAAAAAGCCTTTGACAAAATTCAACAACCCTTCATGCTAAAAACTCTCAATAAATTAGGTATTGATGGGACGTATTTCAAAATAATAAGAGCTATCTATGACAAACCCACAGCCAATATCATACTGAATGGGCAAAAACTGGAAGCATTCCCTTTGAAAACTGGCACAAGACAGGGATGCCCTCTCTCACCACTCCTATTCAACATAGTGTTGGAAGTTCTGGCCAGGGCAATTAGGCAGGAGAAGGAAATAAAGGGTATTCAATTAGGAAAAGAGGAAGTCAAATTGTCCCTGTTTGCAGACGACATGATTGTATATCTAGAAAACCCCACTGTCTCAGCCCAAAATCTCCTTAAGCTGATAAGCAACTTCAGCAAAGTCTCAGGATACAAAATCAATGTACAAAAATCACAAGCGTTCTTATACACCAACAACAGACAAACAGAGAGCCAAATCATGAGTGAACTCCCATTCACAATTGCTTCAAAGAGAATAAAATACCTAGGAATCCAACTTACAAGGGATGTGAAGGACCTCTTCAAGGAGAACTACAAACCACTGCTCAAGGAAATAAAAGAGGATACAAACAAATGGAAGAACATTCCATGCTCATGGGTAGGAAGAATCCATATCATGAAAATGGCCATACTGCCCAAGGTAATTTACAGATTCAATGCCATCCCCATCAAGCTACCAATGACTTTCCTCACAGAATTGGAAAAAACTACTTTAAAGTTCATAAGGAACCAAAAAAGAGCCCGCATCGCCAAGTCAATCCTAAGCCAAAAGAACAAAGCTGGAGGCATCACACTACCTGACCTCAAACTATACTACAAGGCTACAGTAACCAAAACAGCATGGTACTGGTACCAAAACAGAGATATAGATCAATGGAACAGAACAGAGCCCTCAGAAATAACGCCACATATCTACAACTATCTGATCTTTGACAAACCTGAGAAAAACAAGCAATGGGGAAAGGATTCCCTGTTTAATAAATGGTGCTGGGAAAACTGGCTAGCCATATGTAGGAAGCTGAAACTGGATCCCTTCCTTATACAAAAATCAATTCAAGATGGATTAAAGACTTAAATGTTAGACCTAAAACCATAAAAACCCTAGAAGAAAACCTAGGCATTACCATTCAGGACATAGGCATGGGCAAGGACTTCATGTCTAAAACACCAAAAGCAATGGCAACAAAAGCCAAAATTGACAAATGGGATCTAATTAAACTAAACAGCTTCTGCACAGCAAAAGAAACTACCATCAGAGTGAACAGGCAGCCTACAAAATGGGAGAAAATTTTCGCAACCTACTCATCTGACAAAGGGCTAATATCCAGAATCTACAATGAACTCAAACAAATTTACAAGAAAGAAACAAACAACCCCATCAAAAAGTGGGCAAAGGACATGAACAGACATTTCTCAAAAGAAGACATCTATGCAGCCGAAAAACACATGAAAAAATGCTCATCATCACTGGCCATCAGAGAAATGCAAATCAAAACCACAATGAGATACCATCTCACACCAGTTAGAATGGCAATCATTAAAAAGTCAGGAAACAACAGCTGCTGGACAGGATGTGGAGAAATAGGAACACTTTTACACTGTTGGTGGGACTGTAAACTAGTTCAACCATTGTGGAAGTCAGTGTGGCGATTCCTCAGGGATCTAGAACTGGAAATACCATTTGACCCAGCCATCCCATTACTGGGTATATACCCAAAGGACTATAAATCATGCTGCTATAAAGACACATGCACACGTATGTTTACTGCGGCATTATTCACAATAGCAAAGACTTGGAACCAACCCAAATGTCCAACAATGATAGACTGGATTAAGAAAATGTGGCACATATACACCATGGAATACTATGCAGCCATAAAAAATGATGAGTTCATGTCCTTTGTAGGGACATGGATGAAATTGGAAATCATCATTCTCAGTAAACTATCGCAAGAACAAAAAACCAAACACTGCATATTCTCACTCGTAGGTGGGAACTGAACAATGAGATCACATGGACACAGGAAGGGGAATATCACACTCTGGGGACTGTTGTGGGGTGGGGGGAGGGGGGAGGGATAGCACCGGGAGATATACCTAATGCTAGATGACAAGTTAGTGGGTTCAGCACACCAGCATGGCACATGTATACATATGTAACTAACCTGCACAATGTGCACATGTACCCTAAAACTTAAAGTATAATAAAAAAAAAGTGTGTGTGTGTGTATATATGTGTGTGTACATATATATACATATACACATGTTTACGTGTATATCTGTTTATATATATATTTATTGTGTGTTAAAATGTCTAGCAGATTATTTGTTGCTCTTAATTACAAATTGGAGAAGATGTCAATGAACAAATACTTTTTCCAACTACCAATCATTTCCACTTTCATGGTGACGAAAATATATTACTATTATCACTATACTATTAAAAAGAACAATTTGAACTAATATCTTTGGTGAGCCATAGGGCTATCCTTGTCAAAATCTAAAGACAAGCTTGACTTTCACTGACATTAAAATGCAAATAATTTGAAAAATTATCATATTTGTAGAATAACCACCAAAAAACTCACTTAGGTAACTACTTGACAGCCAGAGGGTGCAGAGAAAGATTGATTGGAAAAGCGAGCAAGGTCTCTTTTGGCAAAGACACTTGACATTCAGACCAGCACCTCTATAAAAAAAATTACTGAGTTTTCTGTCCCTCTGGGCCCAGCAGGCTTCAGATTTCCTATGTAACTCCCATGAGGCCTCATTTGCAACTCAGATTCTCAAGCCATTCAACAAGCTGCTGCTGTCTAAAATCAACATGGGCATTTGTGAAACTTGACCACAGTCCCTCTCCTGTTCCTCATTCCTTACCCTCCATCCACATCACACAGTCCCTGCAGGTTCCTCTGCACTTTGAATAGGCCCTGTCCACTGGACAAGCACACTCTAGTGGCAGTGACATTAGTGGCAGCACGCAGTGGCTAGTTCAAGTTACACTAGGAGGGGGTGGCATCCTCACAAACTGTGGCATATTGTGGGGTTTGAGTCCTGGCTGCATAGCCTGGATTCAGTCCTCTGAGTTCAGAGCCCTGTGATTCTATGAGCTACTCATTTTCCTTTTAATGAATCTTATTTTCTGCATAAATCATCCAAAGTTGGTTTCTCCTACTTCCAAAGAAGAAACTGATAGGTTCAAGAAACTGATACTCAGTACCCGTCAGCATCAGACACTCAGGAAAAACTAGGGAACCTAGATTTGGCTGTCTTGATGCTTTGGAGCTCAAGGCAGTGAAAATCCAGCTACTAATCAACAGTGAGAGTCTGGAAGCTCCAGGTACACAGTGTTGAAATTGTTCATCAAATTACTGTCTGGAGTCACCTGGAAAGAAGCAACCACTGAAGCCAAGACTGGGTGACCGAGTAGACAATTCCACAAAACACTATTATGGGGAATACTAGGATGCACTGCCCAGATTTCCTTAGGCAATGAAGGACTCACTGTCCCAGCTGATGGGAAGTGACCAGCAGAAACTCTCAGCTGGGGATTACCTCCACTGGGGATTGCGTCCACTCAGGAAAGCTACCTCACCCAAGCCTTTCTGGGGTGGGCTACATCCAAGGACTGATTGCCATGGGGGTAGAAAGGCTTAGCCTCCTCACTCTGCTTGGGACCACTCCAAAGAATTACCCAACCTGCAGAACTCCCTACAGAATCGACTGGAGCTTCCATGAAGACTGCGTCACAGTTGGCTCCTCCCTCTGTCAGGCCCTCCTTCCACCCCTTTCCTCCTACAGGAATTAATCTCAAGAGAACACCCTAATAAACACCTACAAACTAGCCTCCCTGGGGAACCCAACTTACAACTACTAAGGGCATGATGTCTTTAATTCCAAGAAATATGGTGTAGGCTGCCAAGCAGAGCGTAAAGAATGAGAGTAAGAGGAGAATGACAGGCTCCAATTCCTAAATTCTCAGCTTAGGGTATGGACTGAAACCCAGGGACCTTCTTGGCCTCTGCTAAAAACCATCTCTTATCTCTTCTAGTCAGCGGGCTCAATAAACAAAAAACCCCAGAAGTTTTATCCTTAGCTTTATTAAATTACAATGTCAGCTGAATTCTCACCCTTGCAAGGTATCTATAGACTGGGCTACCAATCTACAAAGAGTGAAACTCCTAAAAACTAAAACAGAGATTTAAGGTGATTAAGAAAAGCCCAAGTCCCCAAACCTCAGGGAACATCACTTGTCAGCAGCGACAGCCCCTTTCTCCCTGTGTAAGGCTTTCAGATGAGGCTGATCTGGCCTTACCTGAAGACCCTTTTAATGAAGTCTCATGAAGGAATTACTTTGCAAGAGAAGCAGATTTTCTTCATCTCTCCTGCTCATCACGCCTCACTGTCTAGAAATGAGCCCCAGCATGCCCCAAGGGGCCTATTACAAGGCTTTCACTCCAAAAGAACCACAAGGTTTTTCTACTTTACATTAGCAAAACTCTGACCTATATATGTGGGATTCTAAGGAATCTAGATGGAGGGAAGAAGACTAAATAGATGGGGTGGAATGATCAATATGAGCACACTTACCAGCAAGTCAGGATTCCACATGCCAGCTGCAGCAGCTGGGAGTGGAGCTGACTGTATGAGTTTGGAAACCCAGACACCACAGCTGCCCATATGTATGGGGCTGAGATGCCAGAAATTCTTTGGGAAGTCAAGAGAGGAAGTAATAAAATGATTTCAGGAGATAAGAATGTCTGAGTGGATTTATCATGTGTGACCTGCTAGCCCACTCCCTAATTATGCCCCCAAGAGAGCTCAGAAGACACTCCCTTCACTGAGAATTTGAGAAATAAATACATTAGTGAGGGGAGCACAAGCGTCTCAGAAATGTGTTGCCAAGGCCATTCTCTGTGGGCTGAGGATGCTGTTAAGAGACAACGAAATTCTTTATTTCAATGCGGACACCAAACCCCTTAAGTAATAGACTAAATAATGCCACTTAACCCCAAGGTGACGTGTGCATGATGACCACAGTAAGCCACATGGCCTTCCTGGCGGTCAGATGCTCTGATTCACTGGGATGTTTGGAGAAGGGCAACTGATCATGAGGTCCATAGACCTTAGACAGACAGATACTCAAGTTGAACCTCTCTGTGTCTCCATTTCCTCACTGTAAAATAGCGATACGATTCTATCTGCTCATAGGGCTGCTGTGAGAATTACATAGGCTAATATAAAGCTCTTAAAGCAGTGTTTGGCACAGATTAAGTGCTCAATATATGCTAGCTATCATTTCCACTACGGTTATTTTTATTGTCATTATATAACTGGCAAATAATCTAGTTTTAGTGAACAAGGCTTAACTTAAGCCACCATGATCATTTACCCAATTTCCAGACCTGAGTCAGTTCACAGACCTAAAGACCCTAAAACAGCCAAATAACCGTAAGAAAAATCATGAACAGAGCATGCCAATAGGACCTACAAAATTAGGAGTGGCAGGTATACCAGATGCCTTAATAAGTATGAGCATATCAGAAATAAACATACATATATATATGTGGGTATATCACTTCAGAGCAGTTTCTGGGAGTTCAAGACACAAGTAAAGGACAAGTTGGTCTACCTTATGCCACTCATCCATAAGAAAGAGGCACAGCTTTGGTAGACCTCTTCGGAATTTGGAGGTGATATGTATGTAACTGTGCAGGCCACTCTAATTCATTCACCAGGTGAGCTATCCCTGACCACAGGACACCAAAGAACCATGTTACCTGAGTGGTCCATTATCAACTAGAGTTATCTGATCCACCTAGCCACAATATCAGGAAGCATTCCATTATCAATGGATACATACACATGTGTATACACACACACACACACACACAAACACGGAGAATCCTGAGGTCACAATTAAGTTGCAGGAAAAGAGAACTCCTCCTCCCAATATGCTGACTCCTGCTATGTGGCTATCCTTCTCTCATCCCACACCTAAGGCCCCAAGAGGACTTGGTAGAGGAGGGGAAACAGCTCTGTTCACTGATGACTGCCCAAGATATGATGGAATCTGCTGGAAATGAACAGCTGCAACCTTATATGTGAGATGGCCCCAAAGGACAGCAAACAAGGAAAAAGCCTCACAGTGGGTGGAATTTCAAGTGGTACATGCCATTGGCCAATTTGTCTGTAAGAATCTAAAACTGATTCATGGGAGTGTCCAATAGTTTCCTGGGATAGTTAGGATTGTGGAAGGAATTCAATTGGATAAATGTTAATAAGGAGACGTTTAAAATCAGGAAAGAGGCATATAAATGAACACCTCAAAATGAGCCCAGGGGAGATATTTGTGACCCATGTAAATACTCAACAAAAGGGCCCGGCAGTCTAAATAACAAGGTAGCATGGCCTGTGCACATCAGCCAGCCTCTTTCCACAGCCGTCCTAATGGGCTCATCACCAAAGTAGCTGCAATGGCAGCAATGAAAGCTTTGCACAGGATCAACAATGTGGACAGCCTCTCACCAAGATTAACCTGGCTACTAGCACAGCTGAGTCCCTAATTTGCCGGTTTTCTATGACCTTCCATATTCTGGTATCAGGCTGATTACACTAGACCTCTTCTGTTTTGGAGGGGCCAGAGAGTCGTCCCTTATTCTCGATGTGAATCTGCTTTCCAAATTCACCAACGTGTCTGCCAGTTTCACCATCCATGGACATACTGACCATCTTAGTCACTGTCATGTTATCAGACATAACATCACTTTTGTCTAATGACCTCACTTTGTAGCAAATGAAGTCAGACGATGGGCTATGGGATTCACTAGTCTTATCCCATCATTCAAAAGCAGTTAGCCTTACAGAATAGTCTATCAAAGGTTCCCATATACATCATCATGTGATGTTGAGATTCTATCCCACGGGATACAGAATGTGCTCTGAGCCAGCAAACTCCATATGGTGCTCTTACCCATAACCTAAATATGTAGAGTCAGTATTCAAAGAGTGGAAGAGGGAGTGGTACCTCACTATTACACCTCTTAACCTACTCCTAAGATATCTTCTTCCCATCCCTGAAACTCTGTGATGTGCTTGGTTAGAGGTCTTACCACACAGCAAAGAAGTGCTTCCACCAGGGGATGAAACAATGATTCTATCAAATCAAAACAACCTACTATCACCCAGCCATTTGGGGTTCCTCATGGAACTAGGAGAACAAGTGAAAGAGGAGTTATAGTACAAGCTGAGAGGCCTAACCCTTACTGCCAAAGGGAAATTGAGTTACTCCTACACAATGGAGGCAGGAGGAATATAAATGAAACTTAGGGGATTTTGTGGGGTATCACCTAGTATTGCCATGTCTACTGGTTAATGGAAGACAACAGCAGGACTTGCAATGGCTTAGACCTGTGAAGAATCAAAATTTGGATCACACCAGAGTTAAGAACCCCAACAGCAGAAGTACTAACCGAAGACAAAAAGAACACAGAATGAAGGGGAGAGTCACAAACCCCCTGATCAGGCACAGAAACTGCTCTATCCCCATCAAAATACCAATGACGGTCTTCACAGAAATAGAAAAAACAATCCCAAAACTCATATGGAACTACAAAAGACCCCGAATAGCCAAAGCAACCCTGAGCAAAAAGAACGAAGTTGAAGGCATCACACTATCTGACTTCAAAATATACTGCAAAGCTACAGAAACCAAATCAATCATGGTACTGGCATTAAAAAAAAAAGACATACAGATCAATGCAATAGGATAGAGAACCCAGATATAAATCCATGCATACACAGTGAACTCATTTTCAGCAAGGGTGCCAAGAACATACAATAGGCAAAGGGCACTCTCTTCAATAAATGGTGCTGGGAAAACTGGATAACCACATGCAGAAGAACCAAATTAGACCTCTATCTCTCACCATATACAAAAATTAATTCAAACCACACTAAAGACTTACATCCAAGACCTGCAACTATGAAACTGCTAGAGGAAAACACTGGGAAAATACTCCAGGACACTGGTCTGGGCAAAGATTCTAGGCAAGGCCTCAAAACCACAGGCAACAAAAGGAAAAATAGATAAATGGATTGTATCAAGCTAAAAAGTTTCTGCACAGCAAAAGAAACAATCAACAAAGTGAAGAGACATCCCACAGAATGGGAGAAAATATTTACAGACTATCTAACAAAAGATTAATAACCAGAATATACAAGGAGCTCAAACAACTCGACAGCAAAAAAAAGAAAGAATCCCATTTAAAAATGGACAAAAGATCTAAAAGACATTTCTCAAAAAATGACATACAAATGGCCAAAAAATATACGAAAAAGTGTTCAACATAACTAATCATTACAGAAATGCAAATCAAAGCCACAATGAGATATCGTCTCACCCCAGTTAGGATGGCTTTTATCAAAAAAATAACAGATGCTGGTGAAGATGTAAAGAAAGGAGAAACCTCATACACTGTTGGTGGGAATGTAAACTACTACAGCCACTATGAAAAACAGTATAAAAACTGCCCCCAAAAAACAAAAATAGAACCACCATATGATCCAGCAATTCCACTACTGGATACACACCCCATGGAAAGGAAATCAACATGTCAAAGCAATATCTGTACTCCCCATGTTTATTGCAGCATTATTCACAATAACCAAAATATGCAATCAACCTAAATGTCCATTAATGAATGGAGTTAAAAAATTGAAATATATAGACAGTGGAATATTATTCAGCCATAAAAAAGAATGAAATTCTGTCATTTATAGAAACATGAATGGAATTGGAGGTCATTATGTTAAGTGAACTAAGCCAAGCACAAAAAGATAAACATTGCATGTTCTCACTCACATGTCAGAGATATAAAAGTGAATCTCATCAAGATAGAGTAGATTGGTGATTTACCAGAGGCTGGGAAGGGAAAGCAGGAGGGGAGGATGAAAAGAGGTTGATTAATGGGTACACATATACACTTAGAAGACAGAAGACCTGCTGTTCAATAGATCAACAGGGTAACTATAGTTAACATTAATTGATTGTATGTTTCAAAACAGCAAGAAAATAATTCAAATGTTCCTAGTATTTAAAAAGGTAAATAAGGTAATGGAGATCTCAATTACTCTGATTATATGAATGTATCAAATTACCACATATACCCCCAAAATATGTACATCATATATCAGTTTTACAAGTTAAAAAGTTTTCTTAATGAAAAACATAAAAATTAGCTCTAAACGATTACCTGTATTTTCTTATTTGCTGTGTAATGCATTTACATGTAAATTTTAGCTAGTATTTCTCTTCATTCCCATCTCTTTCCCCTTCTATTTAATATAAAGGTGTCAATGGTAGCTAACTCTACAACTGAGCCCACAGTTGTAGGATATTAACATTATGGCCAAATTCCAGGAGATGTGGACACTCCCTTGAGCCCACTGAGAGCCTGGACTTGAATAGTTACTTGGGGAAAGAGATGTGTGTATTTTCAGCTGTATAAGAGATAGTGTGTGTCTTCCTGAAGGTGTCCAGTCTGTGGTATACCCCTTGAGGACTATATCTAATAACATTTCCTTGCTTAAACTTAAACCTTGTTTGAACTCGGCCGACATGGAAAGGAGCTGCTCAGTACCCTCTTCCTGAACATTCCTGCATATTAAGAGAATTCAGCCTCCCACTGGCCTTCAGAAAGCTATAATCACTATCACATTTCCCACTAGTTTCTGATTGCTTTTAGTTACTGAAAGCAGAAACATTTAAAATTTCCCCCAAACTATGTCCATTTTCTCACGTCTGATTATTATTCAACCCTGGTCTATATTCCCCCGAATGAACAGTGGCAACCATGACCAAAGTCAATCACGACTCATTTGCCAAAACTGAAACAGACTTTCTTCATTCCCCTCTTATTGGCCTCTCTTCAACTTCTGATAAATTGTGTACCTTCTTCTTTTTTAAACCTTCACAAGACACTTGTTTACTTCCTCATTAATTAATATTCCTTCTGATTCATTGATAGCCCTCTTTTTCTATCTACCTGTCAAATATCAGTGTTCTCTAAAGTTCTATCCTTCCAGTAAGATATGTCTAATGCAGGTGCTGGGCCAGCCACAGTGGGGGCAGAGGTAACCCCATGTAGACTGGTACAACGCTGGTGTGGACAACATCCACAGCCCAATGCCCTGCCCAGGCAGTGCTCAGGAAGATCTTCCTGGAGCCTGGCCTCCACCTGAGAGCCTGATTACAGCAGCTCTAACTCTCACTAGAAATTGAAGGAGAAGGTTAAAATTAATAATCATCATCAACATCACCCTGAAAAGAGAGAAAAATAAATGGGAAGAAAATTTTAGTTTGATATCTCCAGGAGAGGATTAAGGGAAATGAAAGAAAAACAAATGTCACCCTGTTGCCATGGAGCTCCCAATGTCCTCTCAATCCCAGGGAGTAGCAACGGAGCCCTGACAGACAAGCAGCCACCACTGTTTTTTTTCCACCCCCACCAGGAGAGGATTAAACACCTTCCATGGAGTATGTGAATATTTCTCTCCTTTGATTAACCACATCAAATCAATCCCACGAGAAACAACCTCTATTTATATTCTCTATTTCTGTTAACTTGCAGCGATCCCTTTTTGGAGCAATAATGTACGACGCATGATTTCCCTTTGCTGCCTTATGCAAAATCTTGTATCAATCACTCATCTGGATATCTGGCTGCTCACACTAACACCAATCTGATGTCAACTGCCAGGCAGAGTCCCTGTGAAATTTTACTTCACCTGAACCTGCAAGTGAAGTACTCATTAAGCACCTGCGCTGTGAGTGCTGCAGGAGAAAGACCCCAGAGGCAGTGGTATAGGCGCATCTCTAAAGCAGCTCTCACTCAGCTTGGGGTGTTCAGAGGGGGTCATTCCTGGACAGGGTAGAATGTTACCCAGTCCTGAGATTTAGAGATGAAGGATCTGTTGTATATCTTCTTCCATGTAAGACAAAGAGACATCTTTTACTGTCTGTGCTGCTGTCTCACACTTAACCGCAACTTTTGGATGGAAAAAAGGGCCTTAGTGGAATGAGAGCCCTGCCATCGAGAGGTTAAAAGTGACAGAATAAAAAAATTACAGTATCTCTGTATTAGTTCAGAAGGAAATCAGAGGCTGCCACCAGGGCCCAAAGCTCACATGCCTTCTGCAAACCTTATAACCCCCTTATGCTTATTTTATCTTTCTGAAACATCTCAAGAAGGATTAGCACCAAAACCTTGAAGCTGAAGGTGCCCATGTGCTGGAAAGAAAGGGGATGTTTGCCATGCTATACTCCACATCATGGCAGCCTGGAGAGACGGAGACCCTGAGGAGCAGCCTGGAAATGGCAGGTCCACCAGAAGGTAAAAAGATGCAGTCAGGACCCACTGGGCTATGTGATAGCAAGGCCATCTAAGACTACGTGGCAGTTAAGTCATCATTTAACACAACTAAAGCAGCATATTAGCTTCTGCCTCTATTTTTTCACCTTTGATTTATTCTGTAGCCCTGGTCTTTAGTCCCCCAAAATGAACAACGTCAACCATGACCAAAGTCAATTATGACCTCCCATTTGCCAAAATGAAAGACTCTCTTAAATCCCCTCTTACGCAGCCTCTTTTCAACCTCTGATAAATTGAGCTTTCTTCTTGCAACCTTCACAAAACCACTGGCTTCCTCCTTTGTTTATTAACATTCCTTCTCATTCGTTACTGACTCCTTTTCCGGCTCACCTCTTAAATTTTAACATTCTCTAAAGTTCTATACTTGGCCCTCCTTTATTCTCATTCTACACATTTTTCAAGGAAGTCCTTTTACTCCTGTGGCCTCAGTTATCACATGTGTGCAACAGTTCCCACGTACCTGTCTCCATTGCCAATCTCACTCCTGAGCTCCAGTCGCATCCCTGGGAAATTGGTTCCCAGAACCCCTACAGATACCAAAATCCATGGATGCTCACTTTTCAGGGACACTTTTGAGAATGAAAGAAACTATTAATAATGATATCAGGAAAACAGATATAGAATAGGACTGCAAAATGGGATATTTGGTCACTCTACAAATCATAAGCCTCAAATTAATTGTTTTAAGAGTCGAATAAAACAATTATAACATTTAAATCTTCTATTTTCTTGGCTGCCTATTATACTACTTTTCAAATTTTCCAATTTGAAACACTACACTGCTACTTTGTATTCAGAAGTAGTTGCTCTAATACAAAGTACTGGCTGCCTCCCAAACAACTCTCTTCCCCCAGTCCTTGCCATTGGAAAGGGAATTTCATTCCCGTGTCCAACCTCTTCCCCATAGTAACCTGGAAGAAATTCCTGGTTACAACTAATCATGGGATGATTATAATATGGCCATATGACCCAGATGATGCAGTTATGGCCACAAGGTACATAAAGGGGGAAGCTGCTGGAGATGCTTCTTGTGAGATTTCTTCCTTCTTAAAAACAGGTATAGTGGAATTTCCATTTCTGGCAATATAACAGACTGTCCCATCTTGAAAATCATGCCAATGGAGAACACCTAAGAAATGCTAAATGAAATATGTGAAAGCATCTTTTTCAAATATATACTTGAGCTGTTTGGAAAAGTCCTTGGAGACCAAAAATATATATATAAAGCAAGAGCAGAAAAATGGGCGAGCGGTCGTGCATGTCTTTACCCTGGTAGAACCTGCCAGGCTGCAAAGACCTAGGCTTTGCTTTTCACAAGCCACATGTGGGGACAGGTGGCAGTCCTGGGAGCCCATACACATAGGAGGTTAGAGTGACAGCCCACATAAATCCAGATTTCCAAAGCCCAAAATTCCCATTGCCTGTGTGTCCCCTCAAAACCCCAAGCCAGAAATTTAAGCAGCACCACGTTGGTAACAACTCCAAGCACCTGGCAGAAATAAACCTAAATATTCTCTGGATGAATGTATTCCAAACACAGACACCAAAGAATTCCCAAGGACAAAGCAGCAATTAACATGGGCTCACAATCAAACATCCCAAAATATGGGTGAGAACTGACAGAAGTAAAATGGATAATCAGACTAACAAAGATTGCAGATGTAGAATTACCAGCTATAGAATGTAAGATAAATATGTTTATCATGTTTGAAAACATAAGTAAACTTGAAAGAATATGCAAGGAAAAGAAACTATAAGACCTCACAGATACAAAAGCATCAAAGAGAACTTGTAAATATAAAAAATAGGACTGATAAATCAAAAAGACAAAAAGCAAATTCAAAATTAGAAGAATTTAACCAAATATCAAATCAGTAATATGAACACACATTAAAAAGCATTATTTCAAATGGCTTTTGAATACAGAGCACTCAGTATACCTCCACCCTAAGAGAAAAAAGAACTGAAATGATTCTTAACTGTCATTCAGTGATTTTTTGTCAAAATGTTGAGCATTATAATTTTGAAACTACTCATAGTGTCACCACAAATAATACGCTCATGTAATTAGAAACTATGATCTTCATTAATGTAGAGAAAAGGCACAAGTATAAAATCAAAGTTGCTAAGAAAAAACATAGTAATGTTAAATCTGAATTTAAAATCTCAGTATGAACTCACATTTTATAAAACTCATGTTTTTATAAAACCATATTCCCCAGGTCTACTCACTGGAAATGTTCAGGCCTCCGAACAATAACAACCCTGTAGTAATGGACAGACTCGGATCTTGGCTCCTAAATATAATTCCCCCACTAAAAGGAATCAAGGCTGCTTTGAAGATTTGGCTGATTCCAATACAGGGCTAAGGAAAATATAAGGTAAGCACTGGGATATCTTTCAGTTCCAGAAACTAAGGAAACAGAGGCAAATAAAGGCTCATCAAGAGAACACAGAAGCTAGCTTGACCAAATTTGGGACAATTTTAGCATCCAAAAGGAAAATTACTACATTGAATTGTAAAATATAAAATTATTTGACACTACTATTGAAGGAAAATATTTCACTGAACTCCTTATTCTATAAAATGATGTTTAAAGAGGAACGATTACACATTTGCCCTGGCTTTTTATGATAAACTGTATTCAGCTCCAGTTTATGATGGAAAAGTCTTCTTTACAGAAGAATGCCACCTATCAAATGCAAGCATAATGATAGATTTGGAAAATCAGCATTTCAAACTCCCACTCAAAAAACTGATTCAAGCAAGTTTCACCAAAAAATGCTAAAACTATTCACTATTTTCCAGGTTATTGGGGAAGAAGATATTCAGATAGCACTGAATTAACACCTCACATGTTGCTTGCTAATTGCAAAGGGATAAATGTACCTTTACAAGGGAGAGATCTGGCACCACCACCATACGCAAGTGATTTGACTTAGCAATGCAAACAGGGGGGACCACCTGACATTATACGCATCCCACAGATACAATATGAAGCATACGGCATTCTATATGAAGTTATTTTTGCAAAAAAAAAAATTGTTTTATTAAATCAGGACTCTAGAGGATCTAGATCTAACTTTCAGTTTACAGAAACAGATGGGATAGAAGAACAAATTTAAGAATAACGCAATTTTAAAAAGTCAAATCCAGTGTGTGGGACATTCTATAAGACAATAAGTCTGGACTCCTCAAAAAGTCATATCATTTTAAAACATGGTTGAACTATTCTAGATCGAAGTAGACTAATAGACATGAAACCAAATGACGCATTTGGCTGATTCTGGGTTGACAAAATAGCTTTAAAATATATTTGGAGACAACTAGGAAAATGTGAAGACAGACTAGATATTAGATATTAGAAAAGTACTATTATCAAGTGTGATATGTAATTGTAGTTAGGTAGGAGAATGTTACTCGGGGGCAAAAATTAACAACTGTTGGATCTACATGGTAGATCCATTGTGTTTGTTATATAATTCCTTCAAACATTCTAGATATTTAAAATTTCTCATAAGAATTGGGGAAAAGTTTAAGTATCATCTTATGACTTCATAGGTGATATGATAGGTATTGTAGCTAAAAATAATTAACCTCTTTAATCTATGAAGCTTTGTCTTTTGCCGGAGCGAGGTGGGTGCGGAGGGGAAGCGAGGGACAGAGTCTCACTCTGTTGCCCAGGCTGCTAGAGTGCAGTGGTGCGATCATAGCTCACCACAGCCTTGACCTCCTGGGCTCAAGTGATTCACCCATCTCAGCCTCCTGAGTAGCTGGCACTACTGGCACGCACTACCACCCTGGCTAATTTTTGTATTTTCTGTAGAGATGGGGTTTTGCCATCTTGCCCAGGCTGGTCTCAAACTCCTGGACTCAAGCCATCCACTCGCCTTAGCCTTCCAAAGTGCTGGGATTATAGGCATGAGCCACCACACCTGGCCCACGAAGGTTTTTGATTTAACTTTTAGTTTATAAGAAACAGAAGGGATAAAGGAATATGCTAAATGACATTATAAGAAGCCAGGTGATAGAACGTTCTGTAAGACAACTGGCCTGGTCCCTTCAACAAGCTGGTGTCATAAAAAAGGATGGTGCTAAATAAGACAGTCTTAAGGAACAAAACAACTAGATCCAATGTGTAGTCCTAGATTGGATACCAGCTTGGCCAAAGCAGATATAAAGGACCTTAGTAAAATATGATTACTGTCTGGGTATCAAACAAGAACGAAAATTTAGTAATGTGAAAGGATAGAGATCATTTAACTAAAATGAATCTTAGACTACAAAATTATATATATATATATATATATATATATATATATATATATATATATATATATATATATATAGTATAAGCTCATTTGGGGGAAAACATAAATGTGTGTATAAAGAACTATAGGAAAAAAATGATGTGGAAGGACAAGTATTGAGAGTTTATCAGTACTGATCTCTGGATAGACAATACAATGCTTCCATTGTAAAACTGTGGATGGACGGAAATGCAAAACAGAAAAAATCAGGGATTGTAATCCTAATTTCTGACAAAACAGACTTTAAACCAACGAAGTTCAAAAAAGACAATGAAGGGCATTACATTATGGTAAAGGATTCAACTCAGCAAGAAAATCTAACTGTCCTAAATATATATGCACCCAACACAGGAGCACCCAGATTCATAAAACAAGTTCTTAGAGACTTTCAGAGAGACTTAGACTCCCCCACAATAAGGGGAGACTTTAACACACCACCGACAATATTAGACAGATCATCTAGACAGAAAATTAAAGACATTTAGGACCTGAACTCAGCACTACATCAAATGGACCTGATAGATGTCTGCAGAACTTTCCGCCCAAAAACAACAGAATATACATTCTTCTCATCATCACATGGCACATACTCTAAAATTGATCACATAATCAGAAAACACTCCTCAGCAAATGCAAAAGAACTGAAATCATAACATAGTCTCTTGGACCACAGCACTATCAAATTACTAATCAAGGCTAAGAAATTCACTCAAAACCATATAATTACATGGAAATTGAATGACCTGCTCCTGAATGACTTTTGGGTAAATGATGAAATTAAGGCAAAAATTAGCAAGTTCTTTCAAACTAACCAGAATAAAAATACAACATACCACAGTCTCTGGGACACGGCTAAGGCAATGTTAAGAGGGAAAGTTATAGCACTAAACACCTACAACAAAAAGTTAGAAAGATCTCAAGTTAATAACCTAACATCAAAAGTAAAAGAACTAGAGAACCAAGAACAAACCAATCCCAAAGCTAGCAGAAGACAAGAAATAAACAAAATCAGAGCTGAACTGAAAGGATTAGAGACTTGAAATGTCAGTGAATCCAGGAATTGGTTTAAAAAAAAATTAATAAAATAGACCACTAACTAGACTAATAAAGAGAGAAGATTCAAATGAACACAATAAGAAACAAGGGGGATATTACCACTGACCCCACAGAATTACAAACAACCATCAGAGAATATTATTAATATGTCAAACTAGAAAATCTAGAAGAAAGTTATCATTTCCAGGACACATACACCCTCCGAAGACTGAACCAGGAAAAGAACTGAATTCCTGAACAGACCAATAAGAAGCTCTGAAATTGAGGCAGTAATAAATAACTTACCAACCAAAAAAAGCCCAGGACCAGATGGATTCACAGCTGAATTCTACCAGATGTACAAAAAAGAGCTGGCACCATTCCTACTGAAACTATTCCAAAAAACTGAGAAGGAGAGATTCCTACCTAATTCATTCTATGAGGCCAGCATCATCCTGATGCCAAAACCTGGCAGAGACACAACAAAAGAAAACTTCAGGCCAATATCCTTGTGCACATCAATGCAAAAATACTCAACAAAATACTGGCAAACTGAATCCACCACCACACTAAAAAGCTTATCCACCACAATCAAGTAGGCTTTATCCCTGGGATGCAAGGTTGACTCAACATATGCAAATCAATAAATGTAATTCATTACAAAAACAGAACTAAAGACAAAAACCACATGATTATCTCAATAGATGCAGAAAAAGCTTTCAATAAAATACAGCATCCATTCATGGTTAAACACTCTCAATAAACTAGATATTAAAGGAACATACCTCAAAATAATAAAAGCCATCTATGACAAACCCACAGCCAACATCATACTGAATAGGCGAATGCTGGAAGCATTCCTCTTGAAAACTGGTACAAGATAAGGATGCCCTCTCTTACCACTCCTATTCAACATAGTATTGGAAGTTCTGGCTGGGGCAATCAGGCAAGAGAAAGAAATAAAGTGTATCCAAATAGGAAGAGAAGAAGTAAAACTACCCGTTTATAGGTAACATTATCGATGTTGAGAAAATGCCATCGTCTCAGCCCAAAAGCTTCATAAGCTGATAAACAACTTCAGCAAAGTCTCAGGATACAAAATCAATGTGCAAAAATCACTAGCATACCTATATGCCAACAGCAGTCAAGCTGAGAGCCAAATCAGCAACAAATTACCATTCACAACTGCCACAAAAGGAATAAAATACCTAGCAATGCAGCTAACTAGGGAAGTGAAAGATAGCTACAAGTATAACTACAACCCACTGCTCAAAGAAACCAGAGATGATACAAAACAAATGGAAGAACATTCCATGCTCATGGATGGGAAGAATCAATATTGTGAAAATGGCCATACTGCTCAAAGCAATTTATAGGTTCAATGCTATTCCTATCAAACTACCATTGACATTCTTCACAGAACTAGAAAAAAATTATTTTAAAATTCATATGGAACCAAAGAAGAGCCCATATATCCAAGGCAATCCTAAGCAAAAAGAACAAAGCTGGAGGCATCATGCTACCCAACTTCAAATAACACTAAAGGGCTATAGTAACCAAAACAGCATGATACTGATACAGAAACCGACACATAGACTGACAAAACAGAATAGAGAACCCAGAAATAAGGCCACACATGTACAACTATATGAACTTCAACACACCTGGCAAAAACAAGCAATGGGGAAATAATTCCCTCCTCAATAAATGGTGCTGGGTAACCGGCTAGCCACATGCAGAAGACTAAAACTGGACCCCTTCTTTATAGCACATACAAAAATTAACCCAAGATCGATTAAAGACATAAATGTAAAACCCAAAACTATAAAAATCCTGGAAGACAATCTAGGCAATACCATTTGGGACACAGGCATGGACAAAGACTTCATGACGAAGAGGACAAAAGCAATTGCAACAAAAGCAAAATTGACAAATGGGATCTAATTAAAGAGCTTCTGCACAGCAAAACAAACTATCAACAGAGTAAACAGACAACCTACAAAATGGGAGAAAATTTTTGCAAACTATGCATCTGACAAAGGTCTAATGTCTAGCATCTCAAAGAACTTAAATGTACAAGGAAAAAAATAAACAATCTCATTAAGTAATGGGCAAAGGACATAAACAGACTTTCCAAAAGAAGACATACATGTGGCCAAGAATCATGTGGGGAAAAAAAAGCTCAGCATCACTGCTCATTAGAGAAATGCAAATCAAAACCACAATGAGATCCTATCTCATACCAGTCAGAATGGCTGTTATTAAAAAGTCCAAAAATAACAGATGCTGGCCAGGTTGTGGAGAAAAAGGAACACTTATACACTGTTGGTAAGAGTGTAAATTAGTTCAACCATTATAGAAGACAGTGTGGCAATTCCTGAAAGACCTAAAGACAGAAATACCATTTGACCCAGCAATCCCATTACTGGGTATATACTGAGAGGAATATAAATAGTGCTGTTACAAAGACACACTCGCGTATGTTCATTGCAACACTATTCACAATAGCAAAAACATGGAATCAACCTAAATGCCCATCAATGATAGCCTGGATAAAGAAAATGTGGTACATATACACCATGGAATACTATGCAGCCATAAAAAAGAACAATATCATGTCCTTTGCAGGGACATGGTTGGAGCTGGAGGCATAGAAGGGAACAACATGCACTGGGGCCTATCACGGGGTGGAGGGTGGGAGGAGGGAAAAGATCAGGAAAAATAACTAATGAGTACTCAGCTTAATAGCTGGGTGATGAAATAATCTGTACAAAAAAAAAAAAACCCATGGCACAAATTTACCTATGTAATAAACTTGCACACGTACCCCTGAACACAGAGAGTTAAAAAAAAAGAAAAAAAACCTAAAGACTCTACCAAAAAAACTATTTGAATTGATAAACAAATCCAGTAAAGTTGCAGGGTACAATTATACAAAAATCAGTATCATTTCTATACACCAACAGTGAACTAAAGAAATCAAGAAGGCAATCCCATTTCTAATAGCTAAAAAAATGTGAAATAACTAAGGAGGTGAAGACCTTCACAAGGAAAACTGCAAAACGCTGACGAAAGAAATACGAACACTGAAGAGGATACAAAGAAATGGAAAAACAACCCATGCTCATGGATTGAAAGAATATTGTTAAAATGACAATACTACTCAAAGCAATTGATAGATTTAATACAATTCCTATCAAAATACCAGTAACATTCTTCACAGAAATAGAAGAAAAAAACCTAAAAATTGTGTGGAACCACAAAAGATCCTGACCAGCCAAAGCAATTCTGAGCAAAAAGTACAAAGCTGGAGTCAGAACACTGCCAGACCTCAAAATATACTACAAAACTGTAGTAACCAAAACAGCATGGTACATGCATAGAAACAGGCATGTAGATCAATATAAAAGAATAGAGAATCCAGAAATTAATCCACATATCTACAGCCAACTGATTTTTGACAAAGATGCCAAAAACACTCATTAAGGAAAGGACAATCTGTTCAACAAATGGTACTGAGAAAACTGGATACCCATATGCAGAAGAATGGAACCAGACCCCCACCTCTCACCCTCAAAATGGATCAAAGACCTATGTGTATACCTGAAGCAATAAAAATACTAGAAGAAAGCATTAGGAGAATCCGTCAGGACATTGGTCAGGGAAAGGTTTTATAAATAAGACTTCTAAAGCACAGGCAACAAAAGCAAAAATAAACAAATGGGATATATCAAACTAAAAAGCTTCTGCAAAGAAAAGGAAACAACAGAGTGAAAAGACAACTTACAGAATAGGAGAAAATATTTGCAAACTACTTATCCAACAGGTGATTAATATCCAGAATATACAAGGAACTCAGACATCTCAACAGCAAACTAAACAATCTGATTTAAAAATGGGCTAATGATCTGAACAGATATTTTCTCAAAAGAAATGGTCAATAAATATGTGAAAAGCTCAATATCACTAATCATGAGGGAAATGCAAATCAGAGCCACAATGGGATATCATCTCACCCCAGAGTTAGGATGACTATTATGAAAGTGGCCAAAAAAATAACAAATGGTGATGAGGATGAAGAGAAAAGTAAATTCTTACACATTGTTGGTGGGAATGCAAACTAGTATAGCCGCTATGGGGAACAGTATGGAAGTCCTTCAAAAAACTACAAATAGAACTACCATATGATCCAGCAATCCCAGTACTGTGAATTTATCCAACGAAAAGGAGATCATTATATTCAAGAGACATCTATACCCCATGTTTACTGTAGCACTATTCACAACAGCCAAGATATGTAATCAACCTAGGTGTCCAACAACAGATAAATGGATAAAGAAAATGTGGTATTTAAAGCTGGGCATGGTGGCTCCTGCCTATAATCCCAGCACTTTGGGAGGCTGAGGTGGGCAGATCACTTTAGGTCAGGAGTTCGAGACCAGCCTGGCCAACGTGGTGAAACCCCGTCTCTACTAAAAATATAAAAATTAACCAGGTGTGGTGGTGGGCACCTGTAATCCCAGCTACTCAGGAGGCTGAGGTAAGAGAATACTTGAAACCAAGAGGCAGAGGTTGCAGTAAGCCGAGGTCATGCCACTGCACTCCAGCCTGGGCGATGGAGCGAGACTCCGTCTCAAAAAAAAAGAAAAAAAAGAAAATGTGGTATTTTTACACCATGGAATACCATGCCACCATAAAAAAGAATGAAATTTTGTTGTTTGAGGCAACAAAGATGGAACTGGGGTACATTCTGTTAAGTGAAATAAGCTAGAAACAGAAAGTTAACACCACATGTTCTCACTCATAGGTGGAAGCTAATAAATGTTCATACAGAAGTGAAAAAACAGAAGATAAAATACTAGAAGCTGGAAAGGGAGGGATAGGGAGAGATTTGTTAAAAGATACAAAATTACAATAGGTAGAATAAGTTCAAGTGTTCTATAGTACTGTAGGATGACTAGAGTTAATAATATATTACATAGTTTCAAATAGCTAGAAGGAAAATACTGAATGTTCCCAACACAAAGAAATGATAACTATTTGTGATGATGGATATGCTAATTACCCTGATCTGATCACCATACATTGTATGTATCAAAACATCACTACGCACCCCATGAGTATGTACAATTATTATTTGTCAATTTAAAAAATTATTTTGAATGGTTTATATTTTATCAGTCTATGATGCAAATGTACACAATAACTAAAGATTTTTTTAACTTTAAAAGCTTTAGAAGAAAGTGGAGAATATTTTTATCATCTTGGAGTAGGAGATAATTATTTTTGAAAGACCCAAAAAAGTAAAAATGATAAATAAAAATGACTAAATGCAACTACATTAAAATAAACCCTTTTATGCTGTCAAAAAAACAACATAAAAACATTAGAAGTCAAACCACAAACCAAAAGATGTCAATATTTGCAACTACACATATGACTTTTTTTAAATAATATAAATTTTATGAATCCACAAGAAAAAGACAGAAATCCCATTAGAAAAATGGGCAAAAGTTAACAGTTATTTCATTAGAAATTATATACCAGGCCAGGCACAGTGGCTCATAGCTGTAATCCCAGCAATTTGGGAGGCCGAGGTGGGTGGATCACTTGAGGTCAGGAGTTCAAGACCAGCCTGGCCAACATGGTGAAACCCCGTCTCTACTAAAAATACAAAAATTAGCTGGGCACGGTGGTGCATGCCTGTAATCCCAGCTACTTGGGAGGCTGAGGCATAGAATTGCTTCAACTCAGGAGGTGGAGGTTGCAGTGAGTTGAGATCGCCCCACTGTACTTCAGCCTGGGTGACAGAGTGGGACTGTCTCAAAAATAATTAAGAAATGATATACCAAAGTCCTTTAAGCCTATGAAAAGATGCTCAAACTTATTAGTAGCCAAGGAAAGGCAAATTAAAACTATGAGATAAAATTCACACCCACCAGATTTTCAAAATTAAAAGATACGTGAATTTCTGGGTTCTCTATTTTTTTATATTGATCTATGTGCCTGTTTTTATGCCAGTACCATGATGTTTTGGTTACTACAGCTTTGTAGTATATTTTGAGGTCTGGCAGTGTTCTGACTCCAGCTTTGTTCTTTTTGCTCAGATTGCTTTGGCTATTCAGGATCTTTTGTGGTTCCACACAAATTTTAGGGGTTTTTTTCTATTTCTGTGCAGAATGTCACTGGTACTTTGATAGGGATTGTATTAAATCTATAAATTGCTTTGAGTAGTATCAAGTGTTGGTGAGAATTTCAAGCAATGGAAACACACTGCCGAGAAGAGCATAAATTGGTTTCGCCAAATTAAAAAATAATTTTTCTTATAAATCTGAACAAATATACTGCCCACAATACTTATTTCAGAATACATATATATTTGAACAATGCTTGACAAACTCTGGATAGTGACTCACCCAATTCAGAGATTCAAATATTTTAAAATATTCCAATATTTTAAAATAGAATAATATGGAACCGAAAATATCAGTCAGTATTCATTGCAGGTGGTTCAAGGTAAAGTATGGCTTTGTGAGAGTTTACACACACACAGAGACATGCATACACTCATGCACACACCTGTAATGCAAAATGTATTTCTTTGTTTTTTTTTTTGTTTTTTTAAATTTTATTATTATTATACTTTAAGTTTTAGGGTACATGTGCACAATGTGCAGGTTAGCTACATATGTATACATGTGCCATGCTGGTGGGCTGAACCCATCAACTCGTTATTTAGCATTAGGGCAAAATGTATTTCTTACTGTGGGTAATGTGCCAAAGAGTTTGAAAGTTATGGCCCTACAGGGAAACCCTTACACATGAGCTCCAAGAGACACAGAAATGGCATTATATGGAATAGCAAAACCCTGTAAAAAACTCAAGTGTCCTCGTATATGTAGAACGGACAAATAACTTCTTGTATATGGATACACTGGAATGCCATACAGCAGTGAAAATAAGTGCTACCTAGTTACATGTCTTAACATGAATGCTTCTCAAAAACATAATGTTAAACAAGAAAACCAAGTCACAGAACATACATAACAAGCATGAATCTATTCATACGACGAGGTGTTAACATATGCAATTTTAAGGATTTAACTGTGGTAAAAGTACAAAGAAAAAGAAGAAAAGGATAAATACAATATTCAGGTAATCTTTTCAGAGAGGGTAATAGAGGCTGATGGGATTACGAGTACAAACTAAGGGCTTCTACGATTCTGGTTAGTTCTTAAGCTGAATGGTGGACACACAAAAGGTGTGTTGGTGACATCAGAGTCACATAATTTACTACCCCTAGTGCCGATCTTAAGTATCATTGTTATATGGAATAACTTCCTTATTGTTTAAGCCCCATTTTGAGTTGTGTCTTCCATTACTTTTAGTTTAAAAACCCTCAAGCTGAAACAGTCCCTTAGTTTGTATCCCATACAACTGGGATCTGACTTAGTATAAGCTATCATTTAATCATATTCTGTTTGTCTAATTGTATCATTAAAACTTTACAATATTAGCAACTCCAAACTATAAAAAGTTTTGTTTGGAAGAAAGAGACTATCATTAAACTAGCTTAGCATTTTTTCAATCTTAAAGGTTTCGTCCTTGGAAACATTCTGATTAAGTACGTGTGATACCAAGAACAATCAAGATTTGTTTAAGAAGATCTATGAAATGTTAAACAGATAAAGAAGGAGTCAGGCTTGTACTCTTGCCCTCAGCAGGGAACAGCTTGATCTGCCTGGAGGATCACACAGTTATTGGAGCTACAGGCTGGAGGTCAGAGCACAGGCAGAAGTCAGCCACTGCGGGAGTCCTCAAAAGGAGAGAGAACAAGGAAGTGAAGAGATTTTATTCAGAAAAGGGCGTGGGCTCTGCTGTTTTGGCCAGAGGAATAAAAGAACAGTGGTTTCTCCACAGACAAATCCTATACTGGAGACTAGCCCTGCTGAGGAAGTAAGACTTCCATGCCACCTCCCTGGCAGACACACAGGAAAGGGTAGATAAGGAAAGGGGATCTACAGAGGGAAATACACACACGCCATTTATTCTATCCCAAGACAGTGTACAAGGTACACCCTCAATGTGCAGCGCTGCCTAATATCCTCCTATTATTCCACAAAGCTAAGTCTCCCTATTTTACAGATGAGGGTGCTGGAACCGAGAGGTTAAGTAAACTGCCAAGGTTACACACCAGTCATTGGTGAAGCTGAAACTCAAACCTATGGCTGTGTGATCCTGAAACTCATTCTTTTTTTGAGACAGAGTCATGCTTTGTCACCCAGGCTGGAGTGTGGTGGCATGATCTTGGCTTACTGCAACCTCCGCCTCCCAGATTCAAGTGATTCTCCTGCCTCAGCCTCTCGAGTAGCTGGGATTACAGGTGTCTCTCACCACACCCAGCTAATTTTTGTATTTTTAGTAGAGACATGATTTCACCTTCTTGGCCAGGCTGGTCTCAAACTCCTGACCTCAAGTGATCTGCCCGCTTCAGCCTCCCAAAGTGCTTGGATTACAGGCATGAGCCACCACACCCAGCCTCATATTCTTTAATACCTTATGCACAAAGAACAAGGAAGACTGTGGAACAACTCAATCTTGGAGCATTCTCTCTTAGAATGAACTCAAAGCTGCCCCCAGCAACTCCTGCCTTCTACTGCTAAACACAATATTGGCTACGCTGTGAAGATGTGGACCCAGCTAAGGTCAGTAGGATCCCATTACAGAGAAGAATGCCACCATTCTTGGTCCCCAGACTACAAGCACAGCCCTCACTTCCGTCAGCTACATCAACCACTTCTCACATGCACAATCTTGGCCACAAGAGGAGTAGGTTAAAAAATAATAATAAAGAGGGTTTGCTATAGGCACCTGCACCCCTGCTCACCCCCCACTCCAGCTCCATTCTGATGCTAACTGTTGGACTATTGGGGCTCATCCCACTGTTGGTGATTCCCACAATTACCTAAGGTCCAACAAGAGACAGTCTCCAGGAGGGGGATGCTGCTGTAGATGGCATGCATGTACATCAGGTGAGCCATCAGCTCGGCCAGCCACCACCAGCAAAGAAGGCGGCCCAGCCCCAGGGCCAGGACACACAGGCTGGCCTTCAGGGAGTCATGCTCCTGCTGCTGCATCTAAAGTGGAAACAAAAGAGGTCATTCGATGGTGCCTTGATTCCTAAAACAGTCCCTTAGATAAGATTTTTCATAAACTTCCCACAAATATTATTGCTATGCCAGCTGACAGAGGGTTGGTTTGGTTTGTCTTGGGAACACTCAATGTTCTTGGTTGGAAGAATCGTATTTCAGCTTGAACATTTGTCTCAAAATAAGAATGGGGGTTGGGGGTCAACAAGCTAGCCTAGTGCCAAGAGCCAAAGACACGTTCTGCACTGATCCCTCCACTCCAGCATCAGCCCTGGAAAAACCCAAGCGGGGAGGGCAGCACTCAGTGTATTTTCCCCACTGGGAATTTGGAGTTTCGGGCTACAGGTGCCACCCTGCCTGAATTCCTCCATCACCTACTCATGTCTGAGGCTGGCAAAAGCAGGTCCCAGTCAACAAGAGACACAGGACTGGTAGAAGAGAAAGAGAAAAAGATGGGCTGAGAGCAAGGGAAAATGATGTGTGGGCATGTCATTTCACCCTAAGTTGTTTTTTGAAACATGGCAGACAGTATGTGGAACAAGTCTCTTGCTTAGTAGGCAGCAGAGCATAACAGTTAAGAATACAGACTTTAGAAAATGTAAAATAAGGTGGGGCATGGTGGCTCACACCTAGAATCCCAGGACTTTGGGAGGCCCAGGTGGGCAGATCACCTGAGGTCAGGAGTTCGAGACCAGCCTGGCCAATATGGTGAAACCCCATCTCTACTAAAACTACAAAAACTAGCTGGGCATGGGGTGGCACATGCCTGTAATCCCAGCTACTCAGGAGGCTGAGGCAGGAGAATTGCTTGAACCTGGGAGGCGGAGGTTGCAGTGAGCCAAGATCACACCACTGTACTCTAGCCTGGGTGACAGAGCAAGACTGTCTAAAAAACAAAACAAAACAAAAGTAAAATAAGTCACTTCGGGTAGCTTTGCCATCAAAACAATATTGAGTTTCACTCCATAAACTCGGGCTGTTTTTCCATTTATCAGGTCTTCTTTAAATTTCTTTCAGCAATGTGTGTAGTGCTCAGTGTACAAGTCTTGTACTTCTTTGATTAAAGTTAGTCCTAAATATTTTGTTATTTTTGATGTTGTTGTAAAAGGAATTTTCTTCTTTAAAAAATGGACTTTAGAGTCAGAGGATCAGGATCAAATTCTACCACAAACTACACAGCTGTGTGATCCTGAGCAAGTTACTTAACCTTTCCGAGTCTGGGTTTCCTCCTAAAGTAAAAAACATTGTTGTGGTGATTAAATATGATGAAGTATGTGAAGTACTTAGGCATACAAGAAGCACTGGATACTTGGTAGTTAATATCTATCATTAACCGCCTCCATGTGTGTCTTCCCATCCTTCCCATGTGGCATCCCAGACAACCAGCTACAGGGCAGCATTAGGAGACAGCTCAGAGCCAAACACCAAAGGCAAGAGAGGGATGTTTTGATTATTCATAGATACAGATAGAAGCTACTGAGGGCATACTCAATACAGTGGACAACACAGATGAAAATTTTTAAAGCCCAGTTCTGTGGTCTCACCTCACTGCCTGTTGTTTAGAGATGCACAGTAACTTAAAACACATAGATTCTAGAATTCATAAACATGCTGGAAAATTTGAAGTGAATTCAATTTCGTTCAGCCTTATACCACTAAACAAATATAAATACAGAAAAACTAGAGAGAACAGTAAGTTTTCTGGATCTCACAATGACAAGATTTTATGAGACTGAAAGCTCCCTTGAAATGCAGAGGACAGACTAATGCTAAATGTCAAGCTGCATCTGCACACATTAGCCGGTAGAGGAAATGAGCTTGATTTAGCATCTGACTATCAGGGCTCATGACATAAAGGCCCATTCCGTGAGGTACCTCCTTAGCTTCTCTCTCCTCCATCATCAGGGTGCTGTGGGACCCTCTGCAGCCAGGAGAGTGGCAGGCACTGCCCCCAGCGGGAAAGAGAGAGCTACACGGCAGGGGATTTATTTTTATTCCATTTTCTAACATACATTCTTCCAGTCTCTCTAACTGTCCTCCCGCAACAAGAAGCCAGGCTAAGAAATTTTGGTCGGCTCATTGGCATTACAATCATCTGCACAAACAGCTTTCTCCCTTTTGCCATCTGCTTGGTTAACTATGCCCAGAAAAGCTTGTTGCTTTAACTTTTAAAATGTAAATTAGGCCGAGGACGGTGGCTCACATCTATAATCCCAGTACCTTGGGAGGTGGAGGCAGGTAGATTACCTGAGGTCAGGAGTTCAAGACCAGCCTGGCCGACATGGTGAAACCCTGTCTCTATTAAAAATACAAAAATTAGCTGAATGTGGTGGCAGACACCTGTAATCCCAGCTACCCAGGAGGCTGAGGCAGGAGAATCATTTTAACCCGGGAGGCAGAAATTGCAATGAGCTGAGACTGTACCACTGCGCTCCACCCTGGGTGACAGACAGAGACTCTGTCTCAAAAAAAAAGGAAAAAATTGGTACAACAGGAATTTCCCTTTTGCCTTTTGTTTCCCTCAGGTCACTTCAGGAAGATATTTTATGCAGCCATACCAATCTGCACTGTTAAGAAACAACAGTAATTGCTTTGGAGAATTCATCTGGTTAGTGTTCACAGGAAGCAGAATTTGAGTTCTCCAAGAAGCAAGATTGGGTATCCTTGGATATTTGCAGACTTGTATTGATCAGACCTAACTGCAATTACAGATGCACTAGTGACCCCAGGCAGACCCCTTTCTGGGCATAAACTGAGGATGGTTTTCATTTGAATCCTTACCTCAAGCATGCATGCTCTGAGAGACCCTACGAAGTCTATGGCAGCAGATCTGTTACAAGCCAGTCAATCACTAAATCCTCAGTGCAGAAACACCTACCTGCCAGATCATTCACGTTTGTTTTAATAAACGAGAAGTTAAAAGGAAATAACCCAAATGTCCAACACTAGGGTGTTGGTTAAATGCATGTGTGTACCTCAATATTGTATGGTCATGAAAACTACTTTTATTCAATGTGCATAAAATAATCCAAAGCTGGAAAGATATACACCAAATGTCAAAAGTGGTCATCTTTGGATGGTGAGAGTTTAGTTATTTTTGACAATTAAAAAGATTTTTTTTTTAAGACAGAGTTTCACTCTGTCACCCAGGCTGGAGTGCAGTGGCACAATCTCAGCTCACCCCAACCTCTGCCTCCCTGGGTTCAAGCTATTTCTGTGCCTTAGCCTCCCAAGTAGCTGGAATTACAGGCATGTACCACCACACCTGGCTATTTTTTGTATTTGTAGTAGAGACGGGGTTTCTCCACATTGGCCAGGCTAGTCTCAAACTCCTGACCTCCAGTGATCCGCCCACCTCGGCCTCCCAAAGCGCTAGGATTACAGGTGTGAGCCATCACACCCAGCCAAATTGGTTCTTTTTTAAATCAGAGAAAAAGTAATGTGATCTTACAATGTTGTGAATATTTGGGCCCTCTCTGTTAGAGAGGCAAATGTACTCAAGACCCCTCTGTTTCTTCATCCTGCTTCTCCAAATGCCTGGCATCAGAACTTCTGCCAGGAAGCCCAGCATCCTCTATGAGTGAGTATTCTTCTCCATGTTTTATGCTAGACTAATTTTTATTTCTCCTTTCCTTCCCCCTTCACTCTTAGATTTTTTTTGTAGCTATGTACTGAGTTCTTCTTGGTTCATTTTCAACCCTTTTCCAGCTCTCCAAAGCAAGTTCATTTTGACCTAATAACCACTAGCAAAAGAAGACATGATTACAAACACACTGCTATGGTCTGCATGTTTGTGCCCCACTAAAATTCATATGTTGAAATCCTAACCCCCAAAGAGACGGTACTAGGAGGTGGGGCCTTTGAGAAGTGATTAGGTCATGAGAGCAGACCCTTCATGATTAGGATTAGTGCTGTCATCAAGGAAACCTCAGAGAGTTAGCTAGTTCCTTCTACCGTGTGAAGACAGTGAGAAGGTGCCAATCTATGAACAAGGAAGCGGGCCCTCACCAGACACTGAATCTGCCAACTCACTGATCATGGAATTCCCAGACTCCAGAACTGTGAGCAATACATTTATGTGGCTTATAAGCCAACCAGTTTATAGTATTTTGTTACAGCAGCTCAAATGGACTACGGCAGAAAATCAGTACCAAGAGTGGGAGTGCTGCTGTAACAAAATACCCAAAAATATGCAAGTAGTGTGGAAGGGGTAATGGATAGAAGCTGGAAGAGTTTGGAGGTGCATGCTTTAAGCAGTATACATTGCTGTAAATGGATCTTTAAGGGAAATTTTGGCAAGGGCTCAGAAGGAAAGGAGAAGAGCTGCAGAGAAAGCCTCAATATTCTTAAAGAATAGCTGAGCAGTAGTGAACAGAATGTTGGTGGAAATGTGCATGGTAAAGGCCAATCTGATGATTTCTTAGACAAGAGAAACATGGTATTGAAAACTGAATGAAAAGCAATCCTGTTATGAACCAGCAAAGAACTTGGCTGAATTGTGTTCGTATCCTAGTGTTTTGTGGAAGGCAGAATTTGTGAGTAATGAAATTGGATATTTAGCTAAAGCCATTTCTAAGCAAAGTGTTGAAGGTGCAACTTGGCTCCTCTTGACTGTTTATAGTAAAACAGCAGAGGAGAAAAGTGATTTAAAGACAAAATTGTTAATCAAAAGGGAAGCAGAACTTAAAGATTTGGAAAACTCTCAGCCTTTCCATACTATCAAGAATGAGAAAGCCTGTTCAGGAGAGAACATCAAGAATGTGGCCAACCAACCACCTGATAAGGTTAGTCAGCTGTTTAAACAGAAGCCAGGACCTCCTGTCCAAGACAATGGAAGAGTGATCACAAAGAGAATTCAGTCATGAAAACTATTTGTGTTCAATGTGCATAAAATAATGAAAGGCTGGAAAGATATACACCAAATGTCAACAGTGGTAATCTTTGGATGGTGAGATTTTAGTTATGTTTTACAATTAAAATTGGTTCTTTTCAGTCAGAGAAAAAGTAATGTAACATTATAATACTGTGAATATTTTGACCCTCTCTGCTGCCACCATCATCACAGGCCAGAGTGCAAAGGCCTGGGGGACAAAGCAATTGCAGATGCAAAGGAGGGGCTGTCACTGCCCAGTCCTGCCTCACATTGTGGGCTCTGCTCCCCACTCCCCGTCACCACACTCCTTGGCTGCCCCAAGGGTGGCTCCTGTGGGCCCCAGTGCAGTGTAGTTGGCACTGCAACCAGAAAAGCTGTGAGGGGGTGTGGCTGCCTCCACCTAGATTTCTAACAATGCCTAGAGAGCCATGGGGCCCAGACAAAGAACTGCACAGAGGCAGGGCCCAGCAGAGCCATGAGGGTGGCACTGTCTCATGACCCCAGACCAGTAGAGCCACCAGCTCAAGATTCTGGCCTGGGTGATCTGCAGGAGGCATAACCCCCTCCCCACCACCATGTGTCCAGAGGCACCCCAGTGTGTCTGAGAGGTGAAACCTCCACCCTAGTGGGCCTGGAGGGCAGAGTAATGAGCCAAACATGATGATTCCTGAGCCTTAAGGTTTTGGACTTCCTCAGGAGCTTTTACTCCTTTCTTCTTTCCAATTTCTACCTTTTGGAATTGGAGTGTCCATCCTATGCCCGTCTCACCATTGGATTTGGGTGTACAGAGCTTGATTTCACAGGCTCACAGCTGAAGGGGAATTTGCATAAGGATGAATCATACCTTGAGTATCACACACATCTGACTTAGATGATATTTAAATGAGACTTTGGATTTCAGACACTTGAGTTGGTGCTGGAACAAGTTAATACTATTGGGGCTATTAGGATGGAATGAGTGTATTTTGCATGTAAGGAGGCCATTAATTTTCAGGGGGCAGGGGCAAAATATTATTAATTGAATGTTTACATCCCTCTAAAAATTCCTATGTTGAAATCCTAACCCCCAAGGTAATGGTACTAGGAGATGGTGCCTTTAGGAAGTAATTAGGTCATGAGGGCATTCTTCATGGTTGGGAATAGCACCCTTATAAAAGAGACGCCAAAGAGTTAGACCCCTTCCACCACAAAAGCACACAGTGACAGGTACCATCCTGTGAACCAGGAAGCAGGCCCTTACCAGACATCAAATCTGGCAGTGTCTTGATCTTGGACTTCCCAGCCTCTAGAACTGTGAGAAATAAATTTCTGATGCTCAGAAGCCATCCAGTTTATGATATTTTGTTATAGCCGTCTGAATGGACTAAGATACATACTATCCATTAGTCTGTAGAGGCTAGAGGAGTTCACACCAAGGTTAAGACATGTAGAGGCATGTAGAGGCATGTAAGACATGTAGAGGCAGCAAAATCACTCTAGACCAATGGACAGGTCTTTCCTGGCACCCAGACTCTTTTCTTTATGACACAGGGTGTCACTCTATTGCCCAGGCTAGAATGCAATGATGTGACCCTACCTCATGGTAGCCTTGGCTCAAGCAATCCTCCTGCCTCAGCCTCCCCTGCAGCTGGGACTACAGGCATGTACCACCACGCCTGGCTGATTTTTTTTTATTTTTTGTAGAGCTGAGTTTCACCGTGTTGCCCAGGCTGGTCTCGAACTCCTGGTCTCAAGTGATCCTCCTACCTCAGCCTCCCAAAGCACTGGGATTACAGGTGTAAATCACTGTGCCCAACCTGCTCAAACTCTTGGAGAGAAGCAAGTCTTCTAGCTGAACGTGATAATGGCCTCAAAAGCAGTGTTGACAGCAGATAATCTTCACACAGACAAATGTCTACAGTTTCTAAATAAGCCAACTGTGCATATGGCCTACAGGCTCTTCAGCATAACCTACCCAAAGCTCAGGTTCCCTGAAGGCCAGGACAGTACCTCGGGCCTCCAAGCAGCATTTGGTATGGAGCCCCATCCCAGGGAGTGGAGAGATAGCAGCTGGACTGGAAGGGAGCCAGGAGGAGGCCAGAACCAACAGCCCCCAAGATAATCAAGAAAATATCGCTGACACCCAATCACCTCTCAGCTCCAGGCAATCACGTTTCAAGGTGAATTCAAAGGCCTCCTTTCCCTCCTCAAACATGTGCATTCTAAAATGACACAAATATCTGTAATTAAGAAAAATCATGAGGTACATTTTGTCATGCATTGGCTTCTTAATAATGACTTACCTACTTTTCACAAGCTAAAACTTCCCTACCAGGTATAATAAGGCATAATTACATGTCACTACAGGACCAAAAGGACTAGACTTTTCTCTGCAACACTCCTTTTCTGGTGCTGACTGCCTCCCTGCTCCAAGCAACAGAAATGTTTATTAATTGCACAAATAAGCCAGGCATGGTGGCTCATGCGTGTAATCCCAGCACTTAGGGAGGCCAAGGCGGGCGGATCACTTGAGGTCAGGAGTTCAAGACTAGCCTGGCCAACAGGGTCAAACCCTGTCTCTACTAAAAATACAAAATTAGCTGGGCGTGGTGGCAGGTGCCTGTAATCCCAGCTACTCGGGAGGCTGAGGCAGGAGAATCGCTTGAACCTGGGAGGTGGAGGTTGCAGTGAGCCAAGATCGTGCCACTGCACTCTAGCCTGGGTGAAGAGTGAGACTCTATCTTAAAAAAAAAAAAAAAAAAAAAATTTACAAATAAACAACACAGCAAAAGAAAAACAATCCAACTTTCATTCTATTTGCTTTTACTTAAAAAAAAAAAAACAAAAGGTTTTTCATCTTTCTTTAGGGTCATATCATTATTACAGTCCATTTACATCTGCAATCTAGTTGACTGTCTTTTGTTTAAAAAATCCGGCCAGGCATGGTGGCTCACGCCTGCAATCCCAGCACTTTGGGAGGCCAAGGCGGGTGGATCACAAGGTCAGGAGATCGAGACCATTCTGGCTAACACGATGAAACCTCGTCTCTACTAAAAAAAATACAAAAAAATTAGCTGGGCGTGGTGGCTGGCACCTGTAGGCCCAGCTACTCGGGAGGCTGAGGCAGGAGAATGACGTGAACCCGGGAGGTGGAGGTTGCAGTGAGCCAAGATCGCAGCACTGCACTCCATCCTGGGCGACAGAGCCAGACTCTGTCTCAAAAAAAAAAAAATCCAAAATTTGTCCCTTGTCAACCCAGCAGGAAGAACAGACAGACCATATATAGCTCATCTAATGTGCAGGGCGGCTCTCTTGCCTGCATGCAAAGTATTTCATTTAAGACATTTCAAACCTAGGGGACTGCCAAACCTTTAGACCACTGGAAACTGCCACCATGGAAATTGTGAAGTTCAGGCATCACTAAAAAATACACATTAACTCATCTGCAAAGTGCATTTCAAAATGCATTATACTTTAAAACCTAATTTCATGCAAATTGCATAAAAAGGAATAGCTATGCCTTTCTCTTTCTCCCAAATATATTCTGATGATTAAAGATGACAGTTCTCAAAGATGAAAGGTTCTTTTTCTTCATACACGAATAATACATATGTTTGTGAGCACCAAACAAAAGCCCTCCCCAGAGGCAGATATTCAACTGGGCCACCTGGGCCACTAACTTATTAGCTTCTCTCTGCTTGGGTCTAGGAGGCCTTGTGGCAGTTGTTGTATTCCTTTATACTGGTCACAGACCATACCCCTACTCCTAACAAATCATTCCCTAATCAGACCCACATTACTCCCACCCGCTAGCCATCCAGACCAAGGCCAGCAACATCCAGTGAGCTCTCCCAGAACAGCAAGTGGGGCCTGCAGGTGTTGCTGCCACCAAGGCTGGTACTTGGTTCAGCCTGCTTGAGCCTCCAGACCTTCATGTCCACTAGGCCACACTCCATCCCCCTCTAACTCCTCTCACACACCAAGTCAGCGCAACAAGGCTCATGTCTTGATTCCCTTCACTCTATCTGCATTGTAATAGCCTCTCTTTGCCTCTGTTTCCCTGTCTGTAAAGTGGTCATGACAGTATCTCTCTCACAGGTTGTGAGGATTAAACAAGCTAGAATGGCCAGGCACAATGGTGTGTGCCTGTAATCCCAGCACTTTGGGAGGCCGAAGCAAGAGAATCACTTGAGGCCAGGAGTTTGAGACCAGCCTGGGCAACATAGCAAGACCTCATCTCTAGAAAAGTATTTTTAAAAAATTAGCCAGGTGTGGTGATGCATACCTATAGTCCTAGCTACTCAGGAGGCTGAGGTGGGAGGATCACTTGAGCTCGGGAGGCCAAAGCTACAGTGAGCTATGATTGCACCATTGCACTCCAACCTGGGTGTCAGAGTGAGACCATCTCAAACATTTTAAGTTAGAACGTATAAAGCCTGGCTCAGACTAAATGATCACCTAGTATATTTTATTACAATTAGCATGATTCCAGGTGCTCTCTAGAACCAGAGCCCATGCCAAGTACTAAACAAAGCTTCTGGGACATTGACTGCCTTGCACAGCTCTTGCCAGTCCCAGCAACTCTTGGACTGCCCCCATCCCTTTCCTGCAGCAGCTGCCTGGGTCTCTCTTCAAATAGATGGAACCAGCACACTGGCCTCTTCTGAGCCCAAGCATGGCCATGGCCCAGAGTCCCCTGCTGCTGTGCCTGCCTACCAGACTGGATACCCAGGGTCTCACTTCTGACCTAAACTACCCTAGAATTACACTTGCTTTCTGGCCAATCATCACAATAATAAAAGTAAGAGGCCGAGCATGGTGGCTCACACCTGTAACCCCAGCACTTTAGGAGGCCGAGGCGGGCGGATCACCTGAGGTCGGGAGTTCAAGACCAGCCTGGCCAACATGGTAAAACCCCATCTCTACTAAAAATACAAAAATCAGCTGGGTGCGTTGGTGCACGCCTATAATTCCAGCTACTTGGGAGGCTGAGGCACAAGAATCACTTGATACCAGGAGGTGGAGGTTGCGATGAGCTAAAGTTGTGCCACTGCACTCCAGCCTGGGCAACTGAGCCAGACTCTGTCTCAAATAATAATAAGAGTAAGAATTAACACTTTATAGTATTAACCTGTCAAACCACATTACCTATACACAATCATTTAATCCTCACAGCAATCCTGAGGGAGGCACTATTATTCTTCCCATTTCACTGATAAGAAGACTGAGGCATAAGTAAGGTAAGTAACTCAGCAAGCACTCTCAAGCCGAAGCACAGCAGGGATTCAAACCCTGGAGGGTGGGCTCCAGGACCTTTGCTCTCAACCTCCATGCCAAATTCCCTATTTGACCACTGGCTTCTCTAAGGTGGGAGAGCACAGTGCCCAGCAAGGAAGAGTCCCTGGCCCACCACCCTAAGGCTGCTCTTCTCCCCAGTGCCCACACCACACCAGTCAACCTCTTCAAGACGTAGTGGCCCCAGGCTTCAGGCTAAGCAAGTAAACACCATGTCCTTCCCTTCCCTAAGTCCCCCAGGATCCCTGTCTCACCGCTGACTTGGTATCCGAGTTCCACAGAAACGTGAGAGAAAAACAAATCAGGCCCATGTTCCTAAAACTCTAAATGCCACCAGAAATAGCCTTCAAGTTAAGGCACAGAGGCAAATTTTTACCTGTTCGTGACTAATTATGCAAATTTCACATGCTTTACATTGCAGAAGACAACGCTTCTATACCTCCCTCATTTTGTGTATGTAAATTGGGTGGAAGACACATTCTCCAGGTGTATGCCTAAAACTAACATTGTCATTTGATCTTTTGGAGTTTGCAGATACTGGGTGAAGATTTCCCGCTGGGGTTGGTTTCCACAATGGGGCACTGCTGCCCCCTGGTGGTGCAGCGTCATTCTCCTGCTCTACGTTATTTTTATGCATTGACCTGCCAGTCTAAGAACCATGCATTTCAATATTTCCAATCCTTATAGCTGAAGGCATTTCATGCATGCATTCATTCAAGCATTCATTCAGAGCAAATCTTACTTACTAGTTCTTCCAACTAGCTTTCTTTCTCCACCTCCCAGCCTTTTCCTTTTTGGCTTCTCTGAAAGAACCCTTTCACTGCAAGATAAGCTTTTTGGTTTAACCCCCTGCCCCTTTAAAGCCCCCTTCCCCACAGAAGGGAAGTTCCCCACAGCCACCTTCAGCAAGTGCAGAAACCTCCTGGCTTTTTAAATTTGCCCTATATCTTACTGAACATTTATCCTTTTCTAGAATGACTATTCTATGAATACTCCCCCAAACATAGAGGTTTTAATTTGCCCTTTCAAGTTCCCTGCTGTCAGCAATTGCTATTGTTTTAGAAGGGGTTAAAAAAGAAGAGAGAGAGAGGGAAGGAAAAGACATGGATAAAACCCAGAGTGTCTATACCTGGCCCCTACAGGAAGCAACCTGCCCCTTCACTTCCCCAGAATGAGACTCAAGAGAATGAGAACCCTTGGCTAAGGATTTAGGTGGAAGATAATCTTAAAGCGTGCCTCTGTGTGACACAGGACCCTGCTAGAGGCCTCTAATATTCTTACTAGACCCTAAAAGGCACAATTTGAAAAGGGAGGCCAGGCTCAAGCCTGTAATCCTAGCACTTTGGGAGGCTGAGGGCAGATTGCCTGACCTCAGGAGTTAGAGACAAGCCTGGGAAACATAGCAAAACCCGGTCTCTACTAAAAATACAAAAAATTAGCTGGACTTGCTGGTGCATGCCTGTAATCCAGCTACTCAGGAGGCTCAGACACGGGAATCACTTGAACCCAGGAGGTGGAGGTTGCAGTAAGCTGAGATTACACCACTGCACTCCAGCCTGGGTGACAGAGTAAGACTCTGTCTCAAAAAAAAAAAGAAGAAAAAGGAGATGAGAAATAACAGAAACAATTATTTTGCATAATAACAAAGTACAGAGCATACAGGCAAAGCTTATATACAGGAGGAAGTTAGGAAAATAATCTGTTTCCTTCTAATGGATTTAGTTTATGTTTCTCTGAAAATTACCAGCCATCCTCAGGAGAGGGGTGTCTGTGTGTGGATGTTTGGTCCAAAAGTTATTGGCTGGCAAACTGAGAATAATTCAAAAGTTCACAAAGGTAAGGAGATTGTAAAAGAGAGGAACCCACCCTATGCTGTGCCCACCTTACCTTTACTCCCACCCTCCTCCTGGAGGGCCTGTTAAACCACCTTCCTGGGCTTTATCCCTAGAGGCTGTGATTCAGGAGGTTGGAGAGGACCTGAGAATTTGTATTTCTAACAAGCTCTCTGGCGATACTGATGCTGCTGGTCCAGGAACCACACTTTGCAAATCATTGAGTTAGAAGATCAGCTGCCATCATTAAACCATCTCTTTTACACAATAATTTTAAACACAATTTCAAATGCAGATTTTAAATTCCTTCATGACAAAAGAACGATCCCAAACCGAGGTATGAGAAACCATAGACTAAACATATCTGTCTAGAATATCAATTTCACTTACAGATTTCTAGAGATATAAAAAGTTACATACTTTCACTGGAAATTTTAGAACATTATGTTATTGTTATAATGCAAAAATATATTCTTGAATACAATGCATAATTCAGTGGAACTTTGAGGACAAAATAAGATTTCTAAGAACCCTCCTTTTTCAGGGAGCAACTTTCATGTTGCTGCCCAGAAATGTGCAACACTGCTGCTTGCCCTGCCCTTCCAGGTGTGTGCGTATGCGTGGGTATGTGTTCTGCGTGTGCATGCATGTCTGTGTATGCACGTACATGTTATTTTCTCCTCTATGAGGATTGTTTTGTTGGTGAGGGATAGAATATCCCTTGAGAACACTGTTTTAGGCATTTTCAATTACTAATTCCTTAGGTGAATTAACTTAGCAATTATGTTCCATGAAACTAGAGGTAGGTTGAGGAGGCAGAAAAAAAAGAAAGTTCTAAACAAGGGGGAAAAGTGAAGTAGGGGGGAACAACAGAGGTAGCTTAACATGGCATTTCAGACAAGGATGCCGTCCGAGGAAGGCAGGCGGGGGCCTGGGCACAAAGGGGGATCCAGACATGAACACACACCACTGCCTTCGAACTTACTTCAACTCCACTCTGTTTTCACACCTAGGTCACCCTGAACAGCTCCCAGGCTATGGCAGGACTATTTCTTAAGCAGCTTGTGAATATAAAAGGAAACATACTATTTGCCAAGCAACAGCTTAGACAGTTTCCTTTTCTATTCCTTCAAGTAATAGCATCATAATCAAATTTTTTTCTTTCCTTGGGACTTTGCCACAGTGGATACCAACTCCCAAACTCCTTGTTGTGCCCTACTCATTAATCCTGGTTGCCAGAGTTCACTGAAAATCAAGGTGGGACCCCCTAGAGCTGACATATCTGATGGGTCAAACTTTATTTTAAAGGCTCATTTCTCATATGTATTTCATCTATTACAAAAAACCTCATGAGAACTAATAGTATGTGTTGTAAATCTGTGGGCACCTCTGAACAAAACGACTCAAGAGTCAGAGAAGACCAGAGCAACAGCGACAAAGGCTTAAGCTATAGAATCCCAATCCCATCCCCAGCGGGCTCTACCTGTTTGATGAACTCCGAGAAGCTGAGGATGGGCCCATTGTGTAAGACTGGATAATAAAAGACATAGGCCAGCATCCAGGGAAAGGAGTAGGAGGTCGATGCAGCAGGCAGCTGCTGCCAGCAGAGCTCCAGGCTGAAGCTGGTGTAGTACAGGCAGCGAACGGTCAGCGTGAACTGCAGCAGGTAGTACTCGTTTTCTGTCTTGTACCACCTTCTCTACAAAATCAAAAGGAGAGAACAACCTTTGAGTGGCCAGCAGGGACATCGTCCAGTCCCACTGCAGGTGCTGGCCAGCAGGGCCACCGTCATCTGAGAATCCCAGGGGGCTCTGGGAAGGCAATTTCTTCTTCAGGCAGAGCAGCTGTGCCATAAAAGGCAGTCGAGAACCAATGAACACCAGGTAAATCTCATTGGTAATCAAAGCAAGCAGTTAATGAGCAGTAGGAAAAAGGACATCTCTAATGTTAACCTAGCATTAGGTCTGACACAACATAACGAAGGTTTTCCCAGTTAGGCATGTATCAGATACATCCAGGGCATAAGGTGCAGATTAGCTACATCCAGTGGATACTTTGACAGCTTCTTCAACAATTCAGATAACAAAGAGGGGCTTAAAATGTCCCATGGGATTTCTGTCTTCAATGTATTTTTCGTTTTCCTCTTTTGTTATCAGTTTGGCTCTACATTTAGTTGAGTAGCATTTGTCTAATAAGCTTTACAGACAAATATTTAAAAAAAAAAAAAAAAAGTCCCTGCCCTCAATATGTTAAATTCTCATACAGGACGTAGATGTGTAAAAATGCAATTACAATAGAGCATGAAACAAGAAATAACCTGTGCAAAAATATGCATGGAACAAAAAATGAGAAGGAAATACAATAAAATGTTAATATCGGGGAGTAAAATTATGAAGTATTTTCTAATTTCTATATTTTTCTACATTTTCCATGTTTTCCAAAAATACATTTAGTGAGAAAAACTATTTATGGAAATACATACGAGAAATAGAACTTGGGTCAAAGGAGAAAGTAATTAACTTGATCCATCAGGGTCTCTTAAAGCTGTACACAGAAAAACCAACCACTGAACAGAGTTTCTACTTCTTGTACAAGACTTTAGCAGCCACCAAGGGAAAAGAGGATAATCATATCAGGAGAACCACATGTGCAAAAGCATGGAAACCCAGCTAGTTTCTAATCACATGATCTCCTTCCTCAGTGTTTTTCAAATCACTGTAAAATTTGCAGAACAAATGAACATTTATTCACCTCCAACATCTATAACTGATGCTAATTGTCCCCAAATAAATGATAAATGGAATTAGATTCTGTTTGTACACTTGCCAGGTCCCCAAAAGGTTAGGTATGAGCTTGTTTTTATTTTTACTGTAAATCTGTTTTTAAGCACACTTGCCTAAATGGTTGCCTAATCATTCTGGGAAGTATCTTCATTAAAACGGAGTGATTATCTGATATACTCTCATAAGTCCAGATTTTGACATACGTGCTTAAAATGCTAGCCCCACATCATTAATGAGAGTGAGAAAAATGAAGGTAGACTAAAAACAGCAAAAAATACTTGAACTTTCAAAATGCTACAATTTTCACAAAATCACTTAACATAGATTATCCCGTTTGACTCTCAGAACAATCCCATGAGGAAGGAAGAGGATTTATTACTTCTGTTTTCCAAATGATGAGATTGAGGCTCAGAGGTTAAATGACTGCTCCAGCTTCAGAGTAGGAAGAGATGGGGAATAGAATAGACTAGGAACCAGGTCATCCATCTCACATTTCCCATCATGTTCCTTCCCATCACTGTGTTGATGCAGGGCACATGAATGCTAAGTGTTGTCACCTGGATCAATGAATGAGTGACTGAATGAATGAATAAAAAGATACCACAGGAGTTCCAGTCCCACAGTGATTGAAGAAAGAATACCCAACACTGCCCAAGATTTTGAATGTGCCTATGGAGATCCTAGGGGGTTAGAGGAAGGGATAGGTGTGTGCAGTGTCCCCAAAGCTCTAGGTGACACCTGGTCACTTACATGCTACTGTTTTATTGTTTACCAGTTTGTAAGAGCCAGCAGCTCTCAGAGCAGTATCGGACACTAACTGATCTGTTTTTCTGTGGCCCTCTTTTATTTCTTACCTTTAGAGACTGAGGTCTAAGCTGTACTTTGAAAGAGAATCCGGTGGACAGGGATGATGAGAAGGTTGGTTCCAAGAGACAGCATAAACATACGTAAATGTGTAAAGGGAAAGGTAAGCAGATTGGCCTGACTCAAAAAAACAGCTCCTGCCAGTTGGGCAGTGTTTGGGAACCGGGCTAGGAAGGAGAAGGTCGATGAAGGTGGGAAACATCAATGGTCCTGCCCTGGGCATATGACCCCTGATGTTTTCCAAGCTGCGCAACTCTCAGGCTGGCTGTTCTCAGAGTCAACTGGCCCCAAAAGTGAAGGGCTCTGAAGCTGAGTGCCCAGAACCAGACCCTGGAGCTGGGGCCTTGGACTTGTGTTCTTGCCATGCATTTCTCCTTAAAAGAAAGCTCCCACTTCTGGATGGTTGAGAGTTCCACACAGACTCTGCCTTTACTCCCCTGCAGCCACAGACCTTGGCAGCTCCAACTTGAACATGTAAAGGGTGTATTCAACAGACAAGTGAGAGAAGGAACCTCACACAGCCTGAGTGGGCCTGAGATAGGCTGAGGGGCCTAAGCTTCAATTGCATAAGCAGGGCTAGGTCACTCCAGTTACCAAAGACAGAAACAGATAGTCCAGAGCCGTCCAGGGGATGCTAGCCACTGCCCAGGAGATGATCAGAGAACACACAACAGAAATCAGAAAATGTAGTACAAGAAGAATTTGCTGATAGGTGCAATCGCCTCAGCAAGGCACAGGAAACTCAACTCAGAAGGCAGTCTGTCTGTCATCCACCAATTCTCTGGGTCAAGTCTGATGTGCACTCATAAAGTAAAAATGCACTGTTATTGTGACTGAGAAAAAAAATAAAGCTAAAAGGTAAGTGCCTATAAAATAAGATTTTACTAATGCAAACAAAAGCCCTAAAGAAGTGAGGTTTGAGCCCAGTGTCCTCCTCTATTAGCACCAACAATGGATAGGTGGTTGAGTCTGTCAAAATGCCTCTGGGTTTACAGAAATGAAAGCTTGGTCTGTGCCCTTCGGGGCTAAACACTTTGTTTTCACTACCTAAATTGAAAGAGCTTCCACTGGGTCACATGAGTAGATAATAAATATGTTCCTGGCCGGGCACAATGGCTTATACCTGTAATCCCAGCACTTTGGGGAGGCCAAGGTGGGCAGATCACATGAAGCCAGGAGTTTGAGGCCAGCCCGGCCAACATGGTGAAACCCCATCTCTACTAAAAATACAAAAATTAACTGGGTATGGTGGCAGGTACCTATATCCCACCCACTCGGTTGACTGAGGCACGAGAATCGCTTGAACCCAGGAGGCGGAGGTTGCAGTGAACCAAGATCGCACCACTGCACTTCAGCCCTGGGTGACAGAGCAAGACTCCGTCTCTACAAATGAATAAATAAATCTGTTCCATCAACTAGGAAGAAGAAAAAGACCTGACTTACCACCACAGGGCCATTGTGGCCATCAGATGAGTTGAGTGATGTGTGCATTCCCTATAAATTGTAGGGCACTCTCCAGATGTTTTTTAGTAAATCATCTGTTTGTTTCTTCTCTCTTTGTTCCTGACCCTCTGGCCCTGTGACATCTGGCACCCCACATGCCCACCTAAACTGGGAGAGATGGTACAGGGCCAGCCCTGGGCAATCTCACAGGGCTAAAACACAGCCAGGAATGATAGGATTGCAGAATGCACCACTAGGGTTCACTTGTAGCAACCCTGTACGGCCACTATGGGGAGCCCCATCACAGTTCTACAATCATCTCTTGTCTGAAAACCAAGGTGTCTACTGGGATCAAGGCAAAGCCAAAGGGGCCTTCTCTGGATTCCCAATGGTAACAGGAAAACACTTACCTTAACTTCTTCCACACCCTGCAGCCTCAGTGTGGAGAGGAGGAGGAGAGAACAGAGCCACGTCAGGAGCTGAGACCGGAACTGGGCCACGCAGAAAGAGATGGTGGTATGGAGCAAAACCATAGCCACACCAGGGGTCCCCAGCACACACCAGCAGGCCCACATCCCATAGAGCATGAGAATCCAGGGTCTGTGCTGCAAATGGTGGGGCCCATCCAGAGAGAGACAGGGAGGAAGAGGGGAGGGAGGAAAATAAACAGAAGTGAGCTCATGGAAGTGATATTGAAGGTTCTACATGTAAGAGGATCACGTTTAATTACCCAATAAAGAAACTCTTATCACTGCCCTGGGAATTTTGGTACAACACAGACAAACAAGATTCAGAGGGACTTTCCACATTAACCCCCAGAGTCCCATCAGCTCCACCCAGAAGCAAGTAACCACTCTCCTGCCTTCAACCAAAGCCACCCAGACCCCTGGGTCACACAACAATAAGATATTGGATTGACTTTTCAACAGACACAATGGAAGCCAGAAGACAGCTGGAAAAATGCCAACTGGACCACATCCCACATACAGCATCCTTCAGAAGTGAAGGTGAGAGAAAGTATTAGTACACATTTCTAGGAAGACCTATTAAGAAAACTGGGCCATCCAAACCACAAAAGACTTTCCAAAGTCTAAGCCAGAGATTTTAAATATGTAGGGTTTTTTTGCATTTTTGATTTTTTGCATATTGATTAGTCAAATTTATGTCATAGAAAAATTGCATCTTACCTGCTTTATGAGCTATTGAGGACTTTGCATAGTCTACCTGATTGATACATTTATTCCCATTTTAGGAGAATCACAGATTTTTATCTAATCATCAACTAATTTATAGTTATCACATTGAATAAGTAGATGAATTAACATGTCTTTGCTTTATGATATAACCTTGGTCAGACCTGATGGGGAAATCCTTAAAAACCACAATGTTTTAACTTTGAGACGCAAGGTATCATTGTGGTTTAATGATTCAAGCTTTGAAGTCTAACTGCCTAAATTCAAATGCTGGTGTCTCATAACTACCTGTGTGACCTGAGGCAAATGACTCCATCTCTGTGGATTCATTTCTTCATATATAAAACTGGGATATCCCAGCACTTTGGGAGGCCGAGGCAGGTGCATCACCTGAGGTCAGGAGTTCAAGACCAGCCTGACCAACATGGCAAAACCCCATCTCTACTAAAAATACAAAAATTAGCCAGGTATGGTAGGTGACTGTAATCCCAACTACCCGGGAGGCTGAGGCAGGAGAATCCCTGGAACTCGGGAGGCAGAGGTTGCTGTGAGCCGAGATCGCACCATTGCACTCCAGCCTGGGCAACAGAGCAAGACTCCATCTCAAAAACAAAACAAAACTGGAATAATAACAATATCTCCTTCATGGGGTGGATACACAGGAAGGACTCTACAAATACAGTTGTTATTCCCATAGGGAAATGTGATGTCTCACGGGCATGCATTTTAAAATGTGGATCCCAGGAACCACCGAATTGAAAAGTGATAAGTGCCTGAACTTAGGTCGTCTTGTGGAAACAAAGACTTTTTTCAGGGCAAGACAGGTGTGGAGTGTAAATTGCAAATCCCGTGCTTTGATGCTAACTCTTTCAAAATATTGCCTACCTACCATTCTTTCCCAAACCTATACTCTAGCTCAAGAGAACATTTTAAATATGAGACTAGATCAGCCATTTTTAAGTTCCAAGAAAACCAGAGAAATGTGAAGTTCATTTTTACTATTTTTCCATCCTACTACCCACAGAAAACAGCCACATAAATTTGCTTCAAACCCTCACCTCTGGGCAGAGTCCAATTATAAGGAATACATGGCCAAAGACTATTTTAAGAGGTAGTTTTAACAAATGAAAAAAAGGGGCTTCTTTTCCAACATGACCTACAGCATTTACCAATGGAATTCTTTTTTGTGCATGTGTGGCTACATACATAGACACAGTTATGTTTTTATTAAGTGCTATTTGATCCCTTTGGAAAAAGCCTGTTTGCTGGGATTCGTTTGGGAACTTACCACAGACTGAAGCTGCTTCAACTTGGAAAATGCTGAAAGAAGCTTCAGGAAATACTTGATAGTGCTGTGTAAACCCCATTTACTTGAGAGACTATGATGAATTTAACAGTGGTCTCCAAAGCCACCTTGGGGCAGAAAAATTTGTCCCATATTCATCCCCCACTGTTTCCCTACTGCCAAACAGTACAGGCAGACGACACTTAATACTGTTCTAAGACATCACAGGACACGCTCTCACATGAGCCTCATGTTCTCTACCCATCTTAATATTACCCATTGATTCTCCCCAAGTACAAGCAACTCTACTATATACATTCATGATGCACAGGCAATGAAAAGATGTGAATAATGCAAAAAGAATCACCTACACGAAACTGTTGTATATATTAGAATCCCACTAAAATGTTGATTTTCATACTTTGTCTATAAAAATGCTATTGGAATGAATCCTATCCCCAAAACACCATTAAAATACTGCAAGAGGAGAATCGCTTGAACCTGGGAGGCAGAGGTTACAGTGAGCCAAGATCGCGCCATTGCGCTCCAGCCTGGGAGACAAGAGTAAAATTCCATCTCAAAATAAGTAACAAACAAACAAGTAAATAAAATCCTGCTAGAGCAGAATCAGCCTCCCATGTCTTGCAATCCAACTGGCATCATGGCAGGGCAGTCCCCATTATAGAGGTAGCCCTTAGGGCACAGCTGCCCAACCACGATCCCTCCCATGCACATACCTAGATCTCAAGCACTATGAAGAGGGTTCTAGGATAAAAGGGTGACATGGCCCAGCAGGGTGGGCAGCAGCATGGACGGCCTGCTTCTTTGGGCAGCAGAAGAGCTTTTTCTAAGCATTTCAAAGGCCAGTTTCATCAGCAAAGGCCTAAAGATAGCCCTGTCCCATCCATCTCTACTCCAAATGTGCTTATGTATTTATCAACCTTTTTTCTCTCTTAAGTAAAAATGCTTAACTATCAGTATTAAGCTTCTGACATCAACCAGGCCAGAATTTTTTTAACTTTTCAAAAAAAAAAAAAATTGTGTTGCATTTTGTTCCAAAACAACACTTCTGACTCATCACTAGAAAGGCTTTCAGATTTTTTTCCCCAAGTTCTCAGGGTAATAAGAGCAGACATACAAGATTTGGTCACACACATACTGTACGTCAAACTCAAGTTTAAAAACCCACCTAAACACCAAAATAGCCCAATTCATTTAAATTACAAGGTTCAAATTATGAAGATGATTGGGAATTACTTGTTACTTGAAAGAAGACAAAGAATCACATTGATCACATAAAGTGTATAGGTAAAACATGGCCTCAATGTTGGATTGTGATGTTTCTGATTTACAGATTCCAGTTGCATACAACTTTTATGTAATGTTCTTTCTCAGATTTTTGAGATAGTTGTATTCACATATACATACAAGAGACATCCCTTGTATACTTTACCCAGTTTCTTCCTATGGCACATTTTTTAAAACCACAAATATCATAACCAGGATATTGATGTTGCTGCAATGCACCAAACTTATTCAGATTTCTCTAGTTTCACTTCTATTAATTTATGTGTGTGTTTAGTTCTATACAATTTTATCACATGTATAGGTTTGGTATCTACCATGGTAAAAATGCAGAACAGCTCCATCACCACAAGGATTCCTTGTGTTGCCATTTTATACCTCATTTACCTCCTTCCCACTCCTCTGATCACCCCCATCCCTAATCCTGACAACCAGTAACCTCTTCTCCATTTCAAAGATTGGCTTTTTTCACTCAGCGTAATTTCCTGCAGATTCATCCAAGTTGCTGTATCAATGGTTTGCTCCTTTTCATTGCTGAGTAGTGTTCCATGATGTGGATATACCACAGCTTGTTAGCCATTAACCTACTGGAGGCTATCTAGGCTGTTTGCAATGTGGGGCTATTACAAATAAAACTTATGCAAACACACATGCATAGATTTTTGTGTAAAAATAAGTTTTCATTTCTCTGGGATAAATGCCCAAGATCACACTTGCTGGGGTGCAAGGTAGTTGCATATTTAGTTCTATAATAAACTATAAAACAGTTTTTCAGCATGGCTGTAGCATTATACTTTCCTGCCAGCAATGCATGTGTGATCCAGTTTATTCACATCCTTGCCAGCATTTGGTGCTGTTACTATGTTCTATCTGAGCCATTCTGGTAAGTGTGTAATGACATCTCGTTGTGGTTTTAATTTGAATTTATCATGCTCTTTTAAAAGGTATCAAAGCATGAGTGACCTGAAGCTTGAGATGAGCTTGCTGGAGCACAGGATGACAGCCCCACCGGAACTACTCTGACCCTCACTCAATGGTCTTTATTCCAGGTTCTTCCATTTCTAATAGGAGATGAAACAGAAAGCCGGGGAAGAGGGGAAGTGTTTAAAAGGCTGATGAAAAATAAGAAAGTATACTCTATTTTTACAGCAGTGGAGACAAAGCCAGACTGAACGCTATGGCCTTTTTGATGAGACATAGATCTTACTAACCCTGGTTGACTTAAGCAGGCATCCTTCCCCTCTGCTCCCTGAGTCTACACTGAACCACTCTCAAAATGGGGTCTGACTCTACTTGATAGTCTCCTTAATAGGCTAAACTCCTGCCTTGTTTAGATTACAGTAATGTAAGCCCAGAATCTAGCACAGTGCCTAGCATATATCACGTGTTTCATAACTATTGGATGGAAGGATGGAGAGAATAGTTGCATGGATGGATAGCTGGGTAGATGGATATGCTTTCCCAAGTCTTGGGATTTAACCTTGAGATCATGACTAAGAAAAAACAAGAAAATAGCAGTAAAATGTGGACTTTGGAACCCAATAATGTGAAAACCTACTGTCTTCCAAAGTCTCTACTTGTCCTACTTAACCCCTTATAAACAATGGCTGTTTTGCTAATGTAGGTAGAATGGAAGAGACATTTCACATCTCACTGCCTATTACCTGTTTGCTACTCACAGCATCTCTTAACAACTCCACTTCTGTTGGGGGAAATCTCCAATAGTTAACAACTGATGGGGCACAGGTACCAATCCAGGAAAGTGGATACCTGTTATAGAGGCTTCTATCCATCACCCCAGCAGAGTCTCCCGGGAGAATAACCAGTTGAGCTGGCAGAGCTCCAAGGATTGGTGTCAGTGCCCTTAAGAAAAGACTACAGATTTGCCCTCCTTTCTTTTGAAATCCATACTCTTAACCTTCTTCATAAGGAGTCAGGAAAAACTGCCAGACAATGCCCCTTCTCACACCATCTGTTTCTACTTCAGCTCATTCTGTGCCAAGGGTGCCAAGTGATAATAGGGTATGCCTGGTGGGTTCCCTCCTTAGAGTTTACCTCTGTAGGGAGGAGTGAAAGTGTAGAGCCTTGGTCAGAATTCCTGTTGGCAACATTATCAGACGTCCCTGCCTATTAATTCTTTTTGCACATCTGCCAAGAAACCACTCAATGGGAGCATTATTCGGAAAATAATAAAGGGAATCAATCAATCTTATGTATGACACAATTTATTACATACTACATAATCAATAGCAGCTGCTACTGAAATATATATGTATTATATATATACATACATATGTATATATAATCTCCCCAAACAGAAAAATACAACCCACCCATCCCACAGTCTGAACAACTGCATCCCATTTCCTGGGAGCAAAGGCCAGCAGGCCCACGTAAAAGGAATTTCATCCCTCCTTAGACATGCACTGATGGAGGTAGAAGGGGCTGATTCCAGGAAAACCATTAGCACATGAGATTTCTATTCAGTGGATAGATTTGGGACTGTCCTGGAAAAGAACCCTGCTCCCTGCAGCCTTCCAGAGGTTGGTTAACTCATCTCACTCAGCACCATGGGTCAGGCTTCTCAGCCCTTTGCATTACCTGCGCCTGATGAGCTCAGCCTGTCAGTCAATTGCTAATGATGTGGGTTCTCCCGTCAGAGGCACAGTGAGAACCCGGCTCTGTGGTTAGCAACAGCACCCACCCTCAACCCTACACCAGGCCAGTCTTCTCAAAAAGTTCACACGGGGGTATTTTTTGGTTCTGAGGGCAGAGAACACAATGTCTCAGGTGGTAGTGAGGCCACAGTTGGCGTTCATGAAAGGAGGCAACTGTCTGACCCGTGACATCCAATCCAATCATAACAAATGCACAGCCAAAGCTGAAAGCCATGATTCAGCCTTCCCTCCAGGGGCACTGGCTCCTGATGAAGTCTCACCAAAACCCAAAGAGAGAGCCTTATCCAGGGAAAGGGTGTTTAACTGAGCCAAGGAACTCAGTGGAAAGTTTTATTTCTTACCATGGCAAAAAAAAAAAAAAAAAAAAAAAAAAAAAAAAAAAGATAGATCATGCTTTTGAAAATAAAAATAACCTGTCACCTCTCCATGGGAGGAGGTGGAATGAGCCAAGGAAGAGACGAGATTAGATAGTAGATAAAGGAGGAGGCTAGAATCCTTCAGGGCTTAAGGCTACAACAGCAAGAATTGCTAAAGCCTGTCCCTGCATAGTGTTGCCTATAGTTTAGGATGCCTCAGAGAATGGGGAGAAAAAAGGACAACTGCAGCCTAAATCTTCCACTCTGAGTAAGTACCAAAAACAACTACCCGAATTAAGGCCATCTGGAACACTTAGTCCAGGTGGTGAAAGCAGAGAGCTAATGAGGCCAACGCTGTGGTTCATACTTATGTAAGGGCCAAGCAAACTCAGACAAAGAAAGCACTGTGCCCCAGCCACAGGCAGAACCCGGCCCACCAGCTGTCTCACAAATCAAACCCGTGGTCACCCAGAGGATGAGAGAGGCACATACAGAGGGAGATGACTCAGTGCTCACTCTGCCTCATTCCAAGAAAAATGCAAAGGAATACCTCCTACTGATATTGGATAAGATGTGCTCTGCAGAGAAGAAGCCTAGTCCACCTGTCCACCCCTGCCTGGTAACAAGATGCAGAAAGGTGAAATAAGTAAACTCCATTTCCTTCAAGCCACAGCTCAAAAGCCACCTTCTCGGAGGCCTGCTCTGAGACCAGAACGGCAGGTGAGACCTACACCTTCTCCCATAGTAACGTGCCCAGCCAACAACATCAGGTACAGAAGAGTGAGCAGTATTTGCTTTCCTAACTTCCCACTCAACTGTGACTCCCCAAGGGAAGGGGCTGTGTTTCTCAATCCTTTCCCCCAGGACCCAAGACAAGCTTGAAAAGACCATCAGTATGGGAACATTGGTATGGATGCTAGACATGGCCTATGCCCTTGAGGATTTTGGAATCTCAAGACCGTCACCTCCATTCTTGAACACCATAAACTGCTCCCAGGAGCAAATGCCAGCAGATGACAGCAGCAGACACCATCTATTGGGCTGTCCTCATGTGCAAGCATAACTCTGAAAAACATTTGATTATCAGACCCTCTCCACAACTCCACGAAGCCAGCAGTGCCATCCTGCTTGCACAACTGTGGAAGCAGCCTTAGAGATATTCAGGAACTTGTTTAAGGTTACACAGCTTGAGAGTGGCCAATGCAGGGATTGACCCTAGTGCTCTCAACCACACCAAATACTGCCTCCCACGAGAGGAGAAGCAAGAACTCAAAGGTACAAGCAAATAAAATGAAGGGACATCTATATCCTAATATAGCTAGATTTCTGCCAATGTCAGGTGCGAAACAGGAGCTGAACGTGGAGGAGGTTTGGAAAGAGGGAGGGGCATCTAATCAGGAACAGGTTATTAATATCAGTCATGCATTCTCAACAAGGGTTGTATCTCCTATAAACGAGGTGGGGTGGGGCAGATTTTGTAGGCTAGACCTAAGGATAGAATGGAAATTAAAATTAGTAATGACTGGGCATGGTGGCTCACGCCTGTTATCCCAGCACTTTGTAAAGCAGAGGTGGGAGGATCGCTTGAAGCTAGGAGTTTGAGACCAGCAAGACTCTATCTCTATTATTTTTTTAATAATTTAACATTTGTAGAAGATTAGTACTATATTTTATCTAAGTTTTAGGTTACTTGTCAGTTATCAGGGGCTAGAAAACCTTACTCCTTATGCATAAAGCACAGACATACGCACAGTACATGAAGAGATATAAACAGGATATCTGTAGTATTAAAATTTCACAGAGGAGAGATGATCAGGGAAAAAAATTATCTAGAAAGGTGCCCTGGGGACAATACTGAAAAAAATTTAAGAAACACTGATCTACAGGAAGCAAACAAGGAGGAACAAGAACAAGGGTGAGAGGCAAAGGAGACCCATCAGAGGAGGCCATGTGGGTCCTGATGTGTATGGCCCAGAGACGTGGGGAGGACAGATGAAAAACACAGTGTCCCCAGGGCAACTCCCACCTTTCCTTCTGCCCATCATTTCATTCTTCCATGTGTTCAGTTAAAAATATATGAAATATCCGGCCAGGTGCAGTAGCTCATGCCTGTAATCCCAGCACTTTGGGATGCTGAAATGGGAGGATCACTTGAGGCCAAGAGTTTAAGACCAGTCTGGGCAATACAGCAAGATCTCGTCTCTACAAAAAGTTTTTAAAATTAGCCAGGTGTGGTGTCACAGCCTGTAGTCCAAGCTACTCGGGAGCTGAGGCAGGAGGATTGCTTGAACCCAGGAGTTGGAGGTTACAGTGAGCCATGATTACACCACTGCACTCCAGCCTGGGCAACACAATGAGATCCTGTCTGTAAAGGGGGGAAAAAAAAATCACATAGCACTGGTGGCTGTAGGGTAGGCCCCTCTTTGGCTTTACTATATAATGTGTTACTAAGTAGTTATACAAATACATATTCAACACCCTTTCTGTATGAGTTCAGGCAGCTAACACTGATATCAGGGGATTTTTGTTTTGTTTTTGCCAAACTAGAAAGCATAGAATGTTATCTTATTGTAGTTTTAAGATGCATTTGTTTGATTACTAATGAATTTAACATTTTTTCATGTTTATTCATCATTTATGTTTCCTTTTCTACAAATTCCTCTTCATATCTTGTACCATTTTTCTATTGAGTGATTTTGTCTTTTTTATGAAATTTATTCCATATGCCAATCCTTTGTCAGTTTGCAAATTACTTCTCCACTAGTGACTTGCCTTTCCACTTTTCTATTGTGTCATTAGATAAAAAGTTTTTAATTTTAGCGTAGTTAAATTTATCAGTGTTTTCCTCTATAATTTGCACTTTTTGTGTCTTGTATAAAAAAATCTCTGTCTGTGCCAACATCAATATTCTATGTCATATTTTCTAAAAGTTTAATACTTTTGATTTTCATTTTAACTCCTTAATTCATCTTGAAAATTACTGTGAGATAAGTATATGTATACTTTCTAGTTTGACAAAAGTAGATCTTGTTTTTATTGCTTTTCAACTTAATTTCCATAATTATTAATCCATAATTAAAAGTCAAAAAACAATAGATATTGGTGTAAATGTGGTAAAAAGGGAACACTTTCACACTACTGGTAGAAGTGTAAATTAGTACAACCACTATAGAAAACAGTATAGGAATTCCTTAAGGAACTAAAAGTAAAACTACCATTTGATCCAGCAATCCCACTACTGGGTATCTACCCAAAGGAAAAGAAGTCATTATATGAAAAAGGCACATGCACTTGCATGTTTATAGCAGCCTAATTTGCAATTGCAAAGATATGAAACCAATCTAAGTGCCCATCAACCAATGAGTGGATAAAGATAATGTGGTATATATACACCATGGAATACTACTCAGTCATAAAGAGGAATGAAATAATGTCTTTTGCAGCAACTTGGTTGGAGCTGGAGGCCATTGTTCTAAGTGAAGTAACTCAGGAATGGAAAACCAAATATCCTATGTTCTCACTTATGAGTAGGAGGTAAGCTATGAAGACGCAAAGGCATAAGAATGTATAATGGACTTTGGGGCTTTGGAGGGAAAGGTTGTGGGGGTGAGGAATAAAAGACTACATATTGGCTACAGTATACATTGCTTGGGTGACAGGTACACTAAAATTTCATAAATCACCACTGAAGAATTTATCCATGTAACCAAAAACCACCTGTACCCCGAAAACTACTGAAAGAAAAAAAATCTCTCCCTACAATAATAGACCTATCTTTATGTTTATGATCACTTTTTGCTTTATATATTTTGAAGCAAATAAACTTAGAGTTTTAATATCTTCCTAATAAGAAACGAATTCTTTATTATTAAACAGCAGCCCTCTTTGTCACTAGTAATGCTCTTTGCTATTAATAAAACTGCACCAGTAGTTTGTCAGAGGGAGAGGGGGTTTAATATTTGCCTGGAATATCTTTTCATACCTTTTACTTTCAAATTATGTGTCCTTCTGTTTTAAGGATATCTAGCTAAGAAGAGCCTCTCTGAGCTCTGTTTTGGTTTTTGTTTTCCTCTATTTCTCTTTCTTTTTTTCATCTAGTCTGACAATCTTCATCTTTTTTGAGAATCCACTTATGTTGATTGCAATGACTGACATATTTAAACTTACTTCAACCATTTCTTTTATGCTTTCTCTTTGTCCCACTTTTCCATGTTTCATCTTTACTTTTAAGGATGAAATGTCTAACCAATGAAGCTCATCATATTTTAAAGGGAGAAAAAAAACTAATACTATCTTATTGATCCTATTTTACAGAGGACAACCGCTGTGGTTTGAATGTTTGTCCCCTCCACAACTGGTGCTGAAATTTAATCCCCAATGTGGCAATATTGTGAGGTACAGCCTTTAAGAGGCAATTGGATCATGAGAGCTCTGCCCTCATTAATGGATTAATTCATTCATCAGTTGTATTAGTCTGTTTACACACTGCTATAAAGAACTACCTGAGACTAGGTAAGTTATGAAGAAGAGGTTTAATTAACTCACACTTCCACAGACTTAACAGGAAGCATGACTGGAAGGCCTCAGGAAACTTACAATCATGCCAGAAGGCAAAGGGGAAGCAAACATATCTTACCGTGGCAGAGCAGAAGAGAGAATGAGCAAAGTGGGGAGTGCTAGACTTTCAAACAACGAGATCTCATAAGAACTCTATCAGGAGAACAATAAGGGGGAAGTCTGCCCCCATGATTCAGTCACCTCCCACCAGGCTCCTCCTGCAAGACGTGGGGATTACAATTTGACATGAGATTTGGGTAGGGACACAGAGCCAAACCATGTCATGAATTAATGAGTTATCACGGGAGTGGGACTGGTGGCTTTATAAGAAGAGGAAAAGAGACCTGAGCTATCATGCTCACCACGTGATCTCCTGCACTGCCTCAGGATTGCCGCGATGTCAGCAAGAAGGCCCTCACCAGATGTGGTGACTTGGACTTCCCAGCCTCCATAACTGTATAAATTCCTTTTCTTCATAAATTACTAAATAAGTTCATTTTCTTTATAAAATTACTCAGTTTTATGACTTCCCAGCCTCCATAACTGTATAAATTCCTTTTCTTCATAAATTACTAAATAAGTTCATTTTCTTTATAAAATTACTCAGTTTTATGTATTCTCTTATAAGCAACAAAAATGCACTAAGACCATAAATGAAGATGCAGTGAAAACCTTTGCTCAGGTTAGAAAGCTAATCGAACCAAGGACCAAACATGAGTAATACAATGTCTAGCACTCTTCCACTATGCAATTAACTTAGTACAATCCTCAAAGTACATCATCTTCCCCTCACAGAGGTAAAGAAAAACAGGTATGAAGCTATTTATTTTACATACGGGAAAACTGAGACTTATGGTAATAAGTCATTTACACATGGATGGGAAAACTTTGTTACGAATTAAAATGTTAAATTTCCAGAAGTTTTGAATTCTTGGGGAAAAAAAAACTAAACAGAAATTTGTGGGAGTAAAGAAAACCATTAATGAGGGCTGAGGTAGATATATTTATTACTAGCTTAGGAACAAAAAAAATTATTATTAGGTCTGCTCACAAAGTTAAATGAAATTTTAAAATATACTCAGATCTGACAACATCTAATATTTTGGATTTTGCCAGTTCAGCAGCCACTTGAGTACAAAAAAAAAATCAGTATCATATTCAAGAAGAAGTTAATATGCTGTCGGGATTTCCTATCTTCCAGGGTGAGGAGCAAGCCCAGGAAACGCCAATTTTCAGGAAAGAGTCAGAAACTGGCCCAAGTTAGGTGCGCATCTCTAACCACAGGACATCCTATTTCTGCATCTCACTTTCTGGTCTCAATCTCCAGAGGTTTCTGTTTCTCTTCTACTTCAGTTTTATCACCTGCGGGAACCTCTGAGAATCAAAACATTTTTCCTAGGTTGACTTCCAAATCAGGTTTTGGTTGTGTCTTGCTTTTATTCGGTAAATTTCCAAGCACAGACTTTTTCCTCCATCAGGAATCTATAGCAAGCAAGAAGTATTTATCAGAGGCCTCTGGGCAATACCCTGGCCCCCAGGTGACAGAAAGATCCTCCTGGCAGTATATCAGGTCCCTTGGTAGCTAGACCTGTGAAGAGGGTCTCAATCCTGCCTCACATAAAAGTAGTTTTCAAATAACCACTTTGAAGAATCTCTCATCCTCTAAGCCAGCCCAAGGCAAGAGCAAAATGCTACTGGACTTCCCATCTAAAACAGTGACAGCAGCATAAACTACTTGACTTTAAAATTATTCCCACTTCTTAAGTAAATCATCAACTTTCTTCTGAATTTGCAAGTGAACTCATCCAGATTCTCAACCACAGGCAACTTTTTGATCATTTGATTAGAAGTGATCTTAAAGACCACCACCACCCTCCATGGTTAGTTTTACACTACAACCTTTATATTCAATGCCTGAAAATAAGTTGGAGAAAGCAAGTGCAGGATATGAACTATGAACTTTTATCTTAAATGTTATATTGATTGTTAACAACTTTATCATTTTTTCCAGGCTCCCAGTGCTAATATCCAAGTCTTCCGATTCCTAGCTTGGACTCTTTCTTCACAAGAAGCAAAGGAAAAACACACTTAAAAGGTAACAACACATATAATCATACCTTTCTTGCCAGCAGTGTGGCCATTTGAGACACTACCATGTGGCCAAGGAGAAGCCACACCAGCCACTGCTTCCCCCATTCCATCCAGAAGCTCCACTCAAAGTCGGTCGCATCCTAAATAGGACAAAATAGTTTATCAGAGGGATTTCAGTACACGTCTGAGTCAGAACACAAACTCCAGTTAATAAAACTGGAAAGAAGGCCAGTGTGAGTCCAAACTCTGTAAAAGAGGATTTACACACTTCTAGCCTTTCCCCACCCACCTGTACACTCCCCTCCAGCTTGCTATTAGTAATGGCAAAAACTGCAATTACTTTTGCACCAACCTAACCGGAATGATTGCCATTGCCATTCCCCAAATGCACCTCGGACTTTCTACAACTCAGTGTCTTTGTTACAGCTGATCTCCCAGGGCCCTCTGTAGTATAGATGCTATTATTATTTCCATTTTGCAAAACATGAAACAGAGACGTAAGGAACTCAATTCATTTACCCAAGTTCACAGGGATAGTACAAGTAATGAATTGAGGCTATCCCAGTTTAGACAACTAGATATTTTCACTGAGAAATGTAAACTGGACACTAATAAAATGGCTTAAAGTCAGTTATTCTGAGTCTTGTTGCCATTTACAGACAGAATAATTTGTCAGAGAAATTAACTAAGTTCATATAAATTTATAATGAAGGAATGAAAGGTACACTTCCCTTCCCCCCAAGAAGCTCTGTGTCCATGTGGCATTCTGTGTCTGCATCAGTACCAGGTTCCACATCTATGAAGCTCCCCAGGAGGAGAAGGTAGAAACCTCTGACAACAGTGGACATGTGGACGCTTAGGAACCAGCACCTCAAAGTCATGGCCTCAGGAGCCCCAGAAAGGACCACGGAGGCCAAGAGGAGCGTGGAGAGATGCACACTGTCATCGGTCACCCTGAAACAGGCAATGCAGGCTTGGCCAGTGAACAGTTCAGCACTACCAGGATGGAGGGGGATTTGAGGTCTCAGAATTTTCTAAGCAAAATGTGTGCCTGGAAAAGGACTCCTGCAGGCCGGGCGCGGTGGCTCACGCCTGTAATCCCAGCACTTTGGGAGGCCGAGGCGGGCGGATCACGAGGTCAGGAGATCGAGACCATCCCGGCTAAAACGGTGAAACCCCGTCTCTACTAAAAATACAAAAAATTAGCCGGGCGTAGTGGCGGGCGCCTGTAGTCCCAGCTACTTGGGAGGCTGAGGCAGGAGAATGGCGTGAACCCGGGAGGCGGAGCTTGCAGTGAGCCGAAATCCCGCCACTGCACTCCAGCCTGGGCGACAGAGCGAGACTCTGTCTCAAAAAAAAAAAAAAAAAAAAAAAAAAGAAAAAAAGAAAAGGACTCCTGCAATGACCACTGATATTGAACTCCTCACCAATCTCTGCAAGTGGAACTTGAAGCCTCTCTTAATTGGATTTGAAGAAAAGTGTGATTTTTTTGGTGTACCTAAGATTGTGGGGTAATGTCATACCAGTTGCACACAAATAAAACTCTTTTTTGCAGAAGGTAAGATACATATAAAATTGATCTTGATTCATAACAGACTATGAGTGCAAGGTAGCTAAGACTGGAGGCTTGTTTTGGGTCCAGAGCCCAGATCTACTCACACACTTGCTGTGATGACCTTGAACATGATTCTTAACCTTTCTGTTCTGTTTCTTCATATGACAATAGTACTTACCTTACAGGGATTTTTGAGGCTTAAATAAGAGCATATGTACATTAAAAGTTTGTAGCAGCACACAGTGCTATTAAACAGCAGTACCCGCTACTAACTGCTAGACCCATGTGCTTCCCATCCCTTGTAAACCACCAGCCAAGACCGTATCATGCTTTACTTTGTGCCACTCATTTTAAAAAAGTTTTCCCATTTCTTCAAATAAGGAAATACAATACTGCGCATTCTCAGATTACACATGCTCCCCACACCCCAGATCCTGATACATGACCTGCTCATAAAGCCCCTGTCCCTTGCTGGAAATCATGTATGTAGTTGAATTGCTTCCATTTAGAGATGACTACACCAGAGTCTGGGACATGCCCACAAACACACAGCCAGGCAGCACAGCAGAGAACTCAAAGCTTTAACCTGGCTCCTGATCCCTGATCCACAGCTTATTTCCCCATCTAGAGATTTCCAAATTAGCCAAGAGTCAATTAACTAAACAAATGTAAATAAGTTCAAAGGTCATGTGATGAGGCCATGCTAGTAAAATACCACTTTTATAACAGGGATACAGCTAAAAGACACAAAAGCCAAGACACTTTTTTAATACAAACTCAAAAAGAAAAAAAAAAAAAAAGAAAAACATATGAGCTTTTTAAATACAACATTTTTGAACACTTAGAATTACATTTAGAATTCATGACCCCAAGCTTACCTATGCCTCGAAACTTCTCCAAGTTTAATTTTTTAGGGTGGAAAAAAGGATATAATACAACAAAACATATAAGACTTTCTGTTCCACCAGAAAGTCCAGGACTCCTGAAAACTCTGCTGGTAAAATCCCATCAACAAAAATTACACATGGCCTTTCACCTCTAATTATCACAGAAAACATTCATTTAAAGGAAATAAAAATGTCTCTCTCATGTCTATTCTTCCCTATTTAAAAAAGTTACCTAAGGGAAATGACCAAACAGAAAAGCTGGGCCAATGAATAGGTCAAGATGATGTTTAATGATTTGGGTAAGAAAAATATTGACTCACTGCTTCTTGAAGCAAAAGCTTTATAGACTCTGAGCTCAGTCACACATTTCAAGGCAAACATGAAAGCCTGAAATCAGGAACAACATCATGATCTGTCCCTTCCCCCATTTTCTTTCTTGCCTCCATGGTTATTAGTCAATTAGGAACCTCTTCTTTGGCACTCTAAGGGGGTCAGATATAAACTGGAGCTAAATCTCAGCCAGGCAGAACTAGGCAGGCTTCTCCATGGAAGCAGGGAGGCTGTACTCCAAGGAGAAGTCACCCACATCCAACCTCAAAGTGGACACAAGCCACCTATGCATCTTGCTAAAATGCAGATTCTGATGCAGTCAATCAAGGGTGGGGCCTGGGATTCTATATTTCTAACAAGCTTCCAGGTGATGTGATACTACCAGCCTGGGGACCAATCTACATGACTGATTATGCCTTCCTACAGCTGAATGTTCATAAACTCACAGAATCCTTAACAGCTCAGCCCGCCCCGTACCATTCCCAGGCAGGGAGGGCACATACTCCGAAGCTGCTACCTAACACTCACCAACAGAGCAGTCATCCTCCCGTTCACCGTTCAAAGCTCTGGGCACCCAGACTTCGGAATTCACTGAACAAGTTAACAAATGTGGTTGTTTATTCTGAGGCTTACATTCTGCTACCAGGTAATACTAAGGACTCTGAGAGACATGATTGTTCTGGGTTTCTTAAATAGTAACTCTAACGTCCTAGCAAAACACTTTTTCCTTTCTTAACAAAGGAAAGGGTCTGGGCCTAGTGTTTGTAACTGCCTCTTTTCCTACCCACAGCAGAGTTCTGCTCTAGGCACCATGAGGAGCTCAAAGTCTAAATAGGAAGACCCCCAGCACCAAGACCACCACACCCCACAATGAAGACACACCAAAAACCCACTGCAGAATGAGAGGGGTAACAGTGCTGCAACTCAACTTCATATGTCAGTGAAACTGACAGACCTGTCCTTTCTTCCCAGTCACTGATGAACACTCGAGTATGTGTTTTCTAATTACAGCCTCATAACAATCTTTAAAGTAGCTCAATTTGTTTAACAGACCTTATCTTTTAGAGAGTTTTCAGTTCACAGAAGAATTAAGCACAATGTACAGAGAATTCCCATAGACCCCTTAACCCCTCTCCATCAGCATCTCCCACCACAGTAATATATTTGTTCCAACTGGTGAACCTACATTGATACCCCAAAGTCCATGGTTTATATTCGGGTTCACTCTTGATGTTGCATATTCTATGGGTTTGGACAGATGTATAAAAACACATATCCACCATTATCATATCATATGAAATAGTTTCACTGCCCTAAAAATCCTCTGTACTCTACCTCTTCATCCCTCCCACCCTGGCCCTGCTCCCCTCAATCCCTGGCAAACAATGATCTTTTTACTGTCTCCATATTTTACTTTTTCCAGGATGTCATGTAGCTGAAATAAATAAGTTTTGGGTTTTTTTCTTTTTATTTCGTCAGTGATTTGAAGCTCTTTTTTGAGACAGTCTCGCTCTGCTGCCCAGGCCGGAGTGCAATAGCACAACCTCGGCTCACTGCAATCTCTGCCTCCCAGGCTCAAGTGATTCTCGTGCCTCAGCCTCCCAAGTAGCTGGGACTACAGGTGCATACCACCACACCTGGCTAATTTTTGTAGTTTTAGTAGATACGGGGTTTCACCACATTGTCCAGGCTGGTCTCGAACTCCTGACCTCAAGAGATCCACCAGCCTCAGCCTCCCAAAGTGCTGGGATTACAGGCATAAGCCACCGTGCCCGGCCTGAAGCTCACTTTTTCTTTTTTCTTTTTTGAGTAGTTCTGTCTAACTCCGTGTTACAAATGAGTTAACTGGAGGTCAGAGAAAGCAGATTATTTATCCAAACCTAGTAAGGGGCAGAGCCGGGTTTCAAACCTAGGCCTGTCTGAAGCCAAGGAGGAAACCCTTTTCTGAGATGTTTCTACTCATGCTTGTCCCTGTACCTGGACTTTCTGCCCTTCCCACCCCTTTGCCCCACAACACTATTTGACTAGGCAATCTCCAACCTAGAGTGCACCTCATTTATGCCCCGTAACCACAAAGCCAGCCCAGTGACATGCACAAAATACTCACTAAATGGTACAATTCAAATGTCAGCTCCAGAGTGAAGCTTTCCCATACCTACCTCCCCAGGTGGACCTCATTGCACTCCCTTCTCCGTCATCCACATCTCAATTCTAGAACTTTTATTATGGCATATTTATTATATCACTTTTATTCCTGTATTTTCTCTCTGGAGGGAAAAATGGATCTCTCTGAGAGCAAGAACCTTGACTTAAATCTGTCTCCTAGATGCCCAACATTCAGCAAGCCTTTAAAATGGCGAGGAGCAGGAACGGAGCCAAAAAATCAGCCTATCTAGTACTTGTCACATTTCTCCCTCTGTTTAAACTTGGAAAAGTCACTTAACTATCTGGGATTGAATTTCCTTGTGTGTAAAATGAAGGGCTCCACTAGCACAATGTCTAAGATTCCTTTCAGAAAATGGGAAAGACAATTATTTTCTAGGCTAAAGGAAAGAAATACTAAGAAAGTGCTTGTCACCCACCCGTGGAGAAGGGGTCGTCCCCTCTTCTCACACCCCTATGTCACTAGGGAAGAAAGTTACAAGAAAAAATTCCTGGCAAATGAGGACTTGCCCTAGCAACTCACCACTGAGTAAATCTTTCCTCCTTCTAGCCTTGAATTCTCATCGCCCTTAAACCTTGCCAGATCACAACTCACTCTCAGCCTCTTAGCTGGAGTACTGTGTTGTTATCACAAGAGATGGCTAAAATTCTGGTTCTGTGCTTTCTCTTGCATTCCCCAGAAAACTGAGGACTATTCTCCAGCTGAAAACAACACAAACGCATAGCTAATAAGGCCTGGTCAATAGACTAAAATGTAAAGTACCAAGCCAAGTGCCAAGGCACTCACCGAGACGCCCTAAGTGAATGAGAGAAATTCACCCTGTAGCCACATCAGTTAGCTCAGTCCACCAGTTCTTCAACCCAGATCCCTGGTCCCACTGTTTTTGGAGTCTTTTTGGATTTTTTTTGTAATCAGTCCATGACCTGCTGAATAGTTCCACTGTTTATCTCCTAGTGAGATGGGTCAGGAGCACTGTTTTATTATGTCTATGGATGGTATTTGCAGATAGTTTGCTATCAGCTCAGAAGTTTACATCTACAAATGAAGCAGAGTCTAAGAAAGGCCATGGGTAAGCCTTAAAAATGATTTGAGGCCGGGTGCAGTAGCTCATGCCTGTAATCCCAGCACTTTGGAAAGCTAAGGTGGGTGGATAGCTTGAGGCCAGGAGCTCGAGACCAGCCTGGCCAACATGGTGAAACCCCATCTCTACTAAAAATACAAATATTAGCTGGGAGTGCTGGCGCATACTTACAATCTCAGCTACTCGGGAGGCTGAGACATGAAAATCACTTGAACCTGGGAGGTGGAGGTTGCAGTGAACTGAGATCATGTCACTGCACTCCAACCTAGGTAACAGAGCAAGACTCTGTCTCAGAAAAATAAAAGTAAAAAATTTTTTTAAATGACCCACTGCATAATCATTCAAATCTTTCAATAAATTTTATTAAGCATCTAGTATATGCTGCTTCATATAGTCAATCACAGCATATCAATTAGGCTTTGTTATCCAGGAAAGTCTTGGAGTTACTGCAAAATCGTTTTCCTCCCCGTACTATATGCTAGACCTACTTCAATTCCGCAGACTGTGCTCTACTCACTTCTACCCATTTAGCCTTATTCCTTCCATTCCATGCTCCCTACACAGCACCAAAGTAATATTTTTAAGAGCATATTTGATCATGTTATTTCCCCCACTTAATATTCTTCATGTGCTCCCCTTAGCATTCCAGAGAAACTTCTCAGTGAGACTCATGCAGTTCTTCATAAAATGGCCCTGTCCCCCTGTCCACCCTTCCATCGTCGTACCTAACCTTCACTGCCCCCACCATCCCACATTACAACTGCATTGACCCCTCTGACCCCACAGCACCACATTCATGCAGCTGGGCCTCCCACACTTTGCTCCCTCTATTTGGAAAAACCATCACTGAAGCATCATGTGAATGAGGACATATCTTTCAGGTCTCAGCTCAGGCAAGCCTTCTCCCAGGAAGCCTTTAGTAGTCCATCCATTCAGCCTGGACTCGGTGTCCCTTGCCTATGCTCCCACAATATGCCACTACGGTTACCTGTAACAAAGCAACTTATCCCATTGTGCTTTTTAAAATTTTATTTTATTTTATTTATTTTTTGCGACAGAGTCTTGCTCTGTCGCCCAGGCTGGAGTGCAGTGGCATGATCTCGGCTCACTGCAACCTCCGCCTCCTGAGTTCAAGTGATTCTCCTGCTTCAGCTCCCAAGAAGTTGGAATTACAGGTGCACACTGCCATGCCCAACTAATTTTTGTATTTTTAGTAGAGACAGGGTTTCACCACGTTGGCCAGGCTAATCTTGAACTCCTGACTGCAAGTGATCCACCCTCCTCAGCCTCCCAAAGTGCTGGGATTATAGGCGTGAGCCACCAGACCCAGTCCCCACTGTGCTTTAATTACAGGTTACTGAGCTGTCTCTCCACTAGACTGTGAGCTCCTTTCCGACAGGGTCTACATATAGATTAAGCATTGTATTCTTCAATAAACAGAATATATTAGATACTCAATAAAAATTTGAAAAATTTGAATGATTATACAATGAGTCAAACTATTTTTAGGAACCTGGTATCAGCACAGTCTACTGGGAAAGAGGGAGAAGAGATACCAAAAGTGGAGCATCCGGTATCTGCCCTAGAATGCCTTTATAACCCCAGGTAGGGAGAAAATATAAGCTCACAGAATAGTTCCAGTGGATGATCTTCTCTGCAAATTATCCTGACCAACTCAAGGCCCACTCTCCGAAAAATCAATTACTGACTCTCAAGCCATGGCCAAAGTACAGTAGTATTACAATAGAGGACCCATTTCATATTTATAAGAAACACATAAACTAAAGTATGGAGAACACTTGGAATACAGCCAGGAATGTATGAAGTATTATGTCCTTGTTTGTTCAGTAAATATGTAAATAAACGAACAAACAACAAACTCGATTTTACTTTGATAGGCCCAGAAACACAACTCCAGGAGTTTTCAAGCTGCATATCCTGAAACAGTTAGAAGCACTCATAGTTAAAATATAAGAATTCAGCTGTTCAAGATCCCAAACCCAGTCCAAAAGAAGGAAAGAAGAAAGTTCTAGAGACTGTGGACTGAAAAGAAGTGAGCCCACGGTTAACAAAAAGGAACTTCAGCATTCAGGAAAGCAACCATCTTAACCTTTTCCTAAGAAGAAAATATCTGCTTGTACAGCAGGTACTGCCGATTAACTCAACCATGACTATTTACTCCTCTCTAGCATGACTTCCTACACATTACAGGTTAGAAGGTTGAAAACTAAATATCCCAGAATTCCCTGTAGCTGGCAGGTCTAAAAATGGCTGAGCTTCTCATGAACAAATACAAACACTATGACTCTCAGAGTAAAGAAACAATGTATGGTCTGTGAGACTTCTGAAGAAAATGGTGGCAGAGACCCTTTGGCTGTTCTGCAGCAGCCATGCTGGAGATTCTGGGGTCCAGTCAGTTCAGAGATGCTGAAGCTGTCAGATGTGGCACCAGAGCCCTAGGTTCTCAAGCAAGGAGCTATGTGGCAGCAGATGTTGTGTACAGTGGCTCTTGGAACTGTTTCTGGTAGCTCACTTAGTGCCTGCTCCTACAGGTTTTTCTATTATTCTCAAATGTCTTTAAATCCCTGCAATAATTCTCTTTTTAAAATAACTGCAATAGATTCTGCTGTCTGCAATGGAACCATGACTAACATACTACGGAAGAAATGTCTCCTCTGATTGGAATCCAGCTCCAGCTTTATAACAAAAGCATTATGAAAACAGTTCACTTTGAAGAACACTAGTCTGAAATAAGTCTATTCAATGGAGGAAAATGAAATGGAAGAAAACACCAGCTAGGTCAACCCAATGAATGCTCAAGAACTAGGTAATGATGGCAGTGACTGTTTGTTAGAATACAGTCACAAATGCATTTATGTATTTCAAAACCAAAAGATATGTAATGTTCTCTATACAAAAAAAAAAGATAAATGTTTCAGGTGATGGATATCCCAATTACTTTTATTTAATCATTACACACTGTATAGAGGTATCAAAGTATCACATGTACTCCAAAAATTTATACAACTATTGTATATCAATTTTTAAAGAAAAACAAGGAAATGACCTACCTTACCAACCAGTTTATATTTTTCATTATTATACCTCTTTTTCCTTCAGAGAAAACAGTATAGAGCTGAATATATTTACTATTTTCCTTATCCTTATATCTAGCAAGTTGTAAAAATAAAATACTACAGAAATACTATACATGTTTCTGTACCTATTTCCTAAATAGCATTATTTGCTTATTGTTTACTTTGAGACCATATATAATTTCTAATTACACTGAGTAAGACTTATCCAAGATCAGGGAAAACCTTTATAAGGTTCTTGAAATCATAAATGTTTCCCTGCACATTCAAAGGCAGCAAACTGACCTTAATGGCCCGTAAATCTCCAGACAAGAAACACAAAAGGAGACTAATTTTGTAAGAATTCTGCACAAAAGAGGCACTGCTCTCCGAATGAACTCAGGCTAATGATTCATTGAGCAATTATTGGAAGAGTTTTCTTTTTCCTTCAACAGCTGCTTTTCTATTTCTAAAAGAATTTGAACTAAATCATTTTACTGCTTACAATTTCCAGAGACAACACTCTCTCTCAATCAATACTTTCTTAAAGATAAAATGCTTCCACTAATAAAACCTTTTTTTCTGTAAATAACAAAGTCCCTACTGAAACATCTTCACCCTCCTGCATAGGTGAAGTTGCTTGCAAGGGCAGGGATGCTGCCAACAGGACAGGCACAGGCTGCCCTGTTCTACTGTGTACCATTCCCAGCCTCTTCATTGCCCCTCGCCACAGAAGCCAGGCAAATTGGTCCAGTGTAAAATGGTAAAGGGGAGGTGTTTTGTGGGAGAAGAAAAGAGAAAGCCTCTTAAGAGGGTTTAATTACATCAAGAGGACCTAATTAACATGGGTAAGTTATTTTGCGTATCTTCAGCCCAACTGCCAACCTAAACTCAGTAACATCCTCTGGTCACAACTCTACCTACTGACCTGTTTCTCAGAAGTCACTTTGGATTATGCAGGAGAGCAAGACTGCAGAGTCTATTCGGTTTAACTTGAATAGATTCTGTCTCCCTGCTCTGTCTATGCCATATTCCCACCTTTCCTTTCCTCCTAAAGCCAGCAAAGAAGGAATCAAATGCTTAAAAAGAAATATTAAGTTTCAGGGTGAAGTTGAAGGCACAAAACTGTATTATTTTCCCCACATCTCTCAAATTGGAAAAACACTATTTTCTACACAGCATATGGAAAAAAGAGCTATAAACAATGAAAAAAGGTGATAAACAAATTGGAGATGATGAAAAAAATGTAATAGAATGAGATGACTAGAGAACAAATTACACAGAATCATGATTCCTCAGCTTCAAACTATGCTAATAAATCACACATACCATTAGTGTCACTTTCCCAGAATATCAAAAAGACAAAGTGAGTCACAATAACGTGGAAGGAAAAAAGATCCCCAGCCTGTTGGGGGCCACAGCCCCTAAAATGATCCTCACACTCAAAGAACTTACTTTATACTTAGGAAGTCTTCACATATGCAAGAAAGCTGATTTGTACAGAACATCTCTGCAGTGGGCAGACATAGCAAACTGGAACTCCACATGGAGTCCCAAAATGTTGGAGGCCCCCAGGGCAGAAGGCCAATTAAAGAAAGTGTGATCTCAGAGAGAAAAAGGGAGAACTAACATTTTTGCCATCTATCTAGGGGAAGAAGAAGGGAACCCTCCATAATCCCAGCTACCACCTTTCTACTTTACACACTGCCTGAAAGACCAGGGAAACAGGTGAGCAGAACTATGCTGGAGTTCTCCCATACATCTTTACATCTGTCCCCTTTGCCCATTAGCTGCCCAAGCTGTCCAAGAGACACCTCCCCACCCAGCGCACCCCTGAACCCACCAGCCGTCACAGGCAGCCCAGGGGCCTGGGAGACTGGGAATAGAGACAGAGAAGAACGAGACCAAGGCTCACCACATCCTCAGGGCACACTGCCCCATCCTTCCCCCACAGTCCATTACTTCCACCATCTTTCTTCAGAAATCTATTTGCGTATTAATAAAATAACTCATTTATGATGCCTAAGACTTACTTTAAAACACAAGCTACAACACAGAGACGTCTGCTTTCAGACAAGATATAGTACACACATTTATCCCTATCCCTCCACTAACGACAGCTAAAACCCTTGGATGTAACATATAAAACGAATGTAAGGGGATTGTGAATGGTGAAAAGAGCAGACTGGCTAGAGAGCTCAGGGCCTAAGGAACGACAATAAGCAAAACAAAATTAAGTATTAAGTAAATGTTGATATAAATATTAACATTTACATTAATGCATTATACTTAATATATAACTTACTAGATGGGCTTAATAGCAAAAGTAGATTACATAAGAAAGAATTATTGAGCCAGGCGTGGTGGCTCATGCCTGTAATCCCAGAACTTTGGGAGGCCGAGGCAGGTGGATCACTTGAGGCCAGGAGTTCCAGACCAGCCTGGCCGATATGGCAAAACCCCCTATCTAGTAAAAATACAAAAAAAAAAAAAAAAAAAAAATTAGCTGTGCATGGTGGCACATGCCTGTAATCCCAGCTTCTTGGGAGGGTTAGAAGAATCATTTGAACCCGGGAGGCAGAGATTGCAGTGAGCCAAGATTGTGCCACTGCACTCCAGCCTGGATGACAGAGTGAGATTTTTTTTTTTTTTTAATTATTGAACCTAAGGATAGGTCAATAAAAATCACCCAATCTGAACAAGAGAGAGAAAACTGACTGAAAAAATACAGCCTCAGAGACCCTTGATATAAGAACAAAAGATCTGACATTGGTGTCATTAAATTTTCCAGAAGGAAAGAAGAAAAAATATGAGGTTAAAAATACGTTCAAAGAAATAATGGCAAAAAAAAAAGATCTCCAAATTTGGCAAAAAGCATAAACCTACAAATTCAAGAAGCTGAATAAACCCCAATCAAATTAAATACAGCAATTAAAAGACAGAGCTTGGCAGAATGGATTGCTAGAAAAAAGACCCAACTCTGGACTGTCCACAGGAATTCACTTTAAATATAATGAAATGGGGAGGTGGAAAGTTAAAAGATGAAAAAGGATATGGCATACATACATGAATCAAAAGAAAGTGGGAGTGGCTCTACCAATGGCAGATAAAGTAGACTTCAGAGAAAGAAAATCACCAGGGTCAAAAAGGGTCATTGCAGAATGATAAAAATATCTTCTCACCAATAAGATATAAGAATCCTAAATGTGTGTGTGTATATACACATACACACATACATATATATTTAAAAGCATTGTGGTTTTTCAGGGATTAGAGATGAAGAGGAGGAGGGTGAGTATGGCCATCAAAGAGGCAGCACAGAGTAGCTCTTCAAGGTTCTGTATCTTTGTCATGTTGGTGTTTACATGAATCTACACATGTGATAAAACCACATATAACTATATACATATACACAAGTAAGTGCTTGCAAAACAGGTGAAATCTGATTAAAGTCTGTGGGTTGTACTAATGTCAAGTTCCTGGGTTTGAGTTCACTATGGAAGATTCCCCACTGGGGAGCTAACCATCAGGTTCTCCTGTTAGCAACAACAGACACCAGGAACTGCTGGGGGGTGGCAGGGAGGACTGGTAAGGCCTGAAAAACTAACTACTGGGTACTGTGCTCAGTACCTGGGTGACAAGATCATTCATACCCTCAACCTCAGCGTCACACAATATACCCAGGTAATAAACTTGCACATGTACCCCTGGAATCTAAAATTAAAAGTAAGGGATTAAAAAAAAAAAAAAAAAGATTCCCCACTGGGGAAGCTCGGTAGAGGTACACAAGGCCTCTCTGTACTACTGCTGCAACTTCCTGTAAATGTGTAATTGTTTCAAAATAAGATGATGCTAAAGATAACAAATCGTACTCCAAGTCCCATTATACAAAAAGGGCTAAAACGAGTTTCCATGGTTAACCCAGGATGGGATTTAGAACTCAGCTAGCATGGCCTCTACTTCGCCCCCTAGTGGTAGCACCAAAGGCACCCGGTGAATAACAAGGTGTGGAATCTCAAGGTGATGACTCAACATCTCATTTGCATACCCATAGTACCCTGCACATAGTAAATTATTTAAAGCTTAAAAGAATATTTCTTTTGACTCAACATTTCTAACTATGGGAAGATTAAAGAATTCTTTTTGTGCAAACTGTAGGCAGTAATTCTTTTTGTGCGAACTGTAGGCACCATCGGCGTACTAGGAGTTGCGGTTACTGCAACAATGAGTTGAACTAATTTGTAGCATTACACTGGTTTCTCTTCAGATCGAATAAATCTTTCGCCTTTTACTAAAGATTTCCGTGGAGAGAAACAAATCAGTTATAAGCTAATTTTTTGTAAGCCTTGCCCTGGGGAGGCAGATCATGTTTTATAAAAAAAGACTTAAAGAGGAAAACATTATGGTGCAACTTTAGGCTTAAGTGATTCATTGTCACTGTTTGTTTAAACATTGTGTAACAGAACTTGCAAAGACAGTTAACTCTTGTTTTCCATGTCAAAGGTCTGAATACTTGCATGATAAAAGTCTGTGTAACTTTCCCTGGTGACATCTGACTTGCTAATTAGCAACATTAACATTGGAGACACAGACTGGCTTAGACAATTTGGAGACTCCCCCTTAAGTGATGGCCTTTAAGATCCTAAACTCAGCCACATAGTTGGGAGAATTTCTGGTTGCCTGTCTGCAAAAAAGCCCCAAATCCATCCTTCTCTAGATAACATTCTATTATCTATCTACCTAGTAACAAATTCAATGCAAGGTGGTGATGCAAGCTCCTTAAAGGACTCCATCAATTCCACTGATCAGCTTGGTGTAAACTGGTTTCCACTGCTTGCCTAGTAAGTGTTTAATAAACGTACACATGCCAGATAGAATTTGACCTGAGCTTTGCTTTCATTAAACCTGGGAGCAAAATCATGATGGAATAACAAACCTTCATCCATCTCGAACTTTTCGGCAGCTATTGTCATCCCTGAAAGTAGCATCAGTCAGTTCCCCACACAAAGACACCCCACTTTACATCTTCTCCCACGTGCCCCTGTGATCTCGCTCTTACCTTGCTGCTGCTGCTTAATTTCTTTTTAACAAAGGCTTATCAACTGTCATGTCATGATTTTAAAAGGTAATAACCTTTTTAAGAATGCTGACAGGCACCACTTTTAGGAAATGTACTGAGAGAAGGAAATGTTTTCCCTCCTTCCCACTTCCCCATACCTCCCCCCAAATTTCAGATCCCGCCACTATTCAACCTGCCCTAGGCTGGAATAATCCCGTCCCCCTTTCTCTCTGAGTCTTGTTATGGCACTTATATAAGTCTGAATCATGTTACAGCACTTCCATGTTTGTGTGTAAATTAACTTTAATCCACCTCTAAGGACAGTTCTTAACATTGAAAGTATCCAAATGAGGAGTCCACAAAGAGTGAGTTAGCATTTGAAGGATTCTAATCAGAAATCTACTCCCAGACATGACTACAATTCAAATAATTCCAACATGGTACCTAAAGCTGCACCTGAAAGTTTACTAGCATAAGGAATGTTAGAAATAAATATTTTAGTAATGAAAAGCATGGTGCTCAATATGTGATGGATTAAAATTTTTCTCAGGCTCTGATACCCTTGTAATAATGAAGCATGTATGTAAGAATCCCTTGAGGCCAGGTACAGTGGCTCACGCCTGTAATCCCAACACTTTGGGAGGCTGAGCCAGAAGGATCACAAAAAAAAAAAAAAACACCTCCCTTGAGCCCAGCACCCAAAGCACTGAAAGTCTAACACTCTCTTGGTCTGTGTCCTTTGCTTTAATAAGGCTCTATCCTCTAATCAGACTAGAAGGGTAACTGCTTCAGCCAGCAGAATAGAATTGCACCAGCCTCAGAAGGAACTTCCGTGCAAGATGCTTGTTGGAGTACCTAAAGACAGACAATAGAGGCTTCACAAGCTTTCAGGAACAAGTTCAATGATGGTTTTGTACTTCCCTACCTAATGAATGTTTGTACTTGTAGGAGAATTCAGTTAGACACCTTCACTGTTTAACATACCACTTGGTGGCAAGGTTGTGGGAGAGAAGACATTTAACTCCTGTCCATCTCCAAGTGACAGAAGTTACCAAGAGTAAAACCAAAGAACTTTATTTTTGTTAAACAACAAAATAGGCTTGGGTCAGTTCAAAACATAGTACTTCTATTCAAGACTCAGCTCCAATCCACCTATTCCAGAGAGTCTTCTCTGATCATTCCAAGGCTAGAAACTCTCCCAGCAATTTTTGGCTACACCGACTAGGGACAATCATACATATGGAAAACACTTTGTTAAATGGCATGCCAGGGCCAGCTTTCAGGCAGGACCCACGAGCAGGGCCAATTGTCCTGGCTGTGTACAGCTCTGGCCCTTGTTAAATACTTCACACATCAGCCATATTAAAGCTAGGGGTGTCCTCCTGGAATTCTCAAATAGAGTATAAACTTGTTGAGTAGAGAAATAATGCCTCTTAATTCCTTAACCCACAGCATTATCACAACCCAGATCAGAAAGCAGGCAGTAAGCACTGACTTGTAAGCTGACTGGTTTGTGACTGAGAAATTTCTCACCATTCTCAACAGTGGGAATGTCTTCATCTTTGCATCGAACTCCCTCAAACATTAGTAGACTCTTGATAATGTTTGCTGAATTGAGGTGAATATGCCCACTGGGGTTGGGGACTTCTTATAAAGGAACATTGATCTCTTGGCAACGTTTGCTTTGTTTCATGTGTGTAAACTCTGGTGAGTTTACAGAGGTTAGGCCTTAACTCATTTTCATTAAGCCGCAGCCCCTCAAAGATTATTCCAGCATGTCTGTCATCTCTCTGCTTCCCTCCATCTGATGGGAGCAGATTAATAAGTGATTTGGCTGTGTGCGTGAATGTTCAGCCTGTCTTACCAGAAAACTGGATTTTATACAGTTTTTCCCCTTCCCAGAGAGGCTTGCTTAGCAGAGACAGATTCCTGTGTTCCATGCCAGCCCCTCCAAAGAATGTGGGTTGAAGAGTCTCCAAAATGTCAGGGGCAAGAAACCCATGGATTAGGCCAGGCAGGGTGGCTCACACCTGTAATCCCAGCACTTTGGGAGGCCAAGGCAGGTGGATCACTTGAGGACAGGAGTTTGAGGCCAGCCTAGCCAGCATGTTGAAAACCTGTCTCTACTAAAAATACAAAAAGTTAGCCAAGTATGATGGCACATGCCTGTAGGCCCTGCTTGGGAGGCTGAGGCACGAGAATCGCTTGAACTTGGGAGGCAGAGGTTACAGTGAACCATGGTTGTGCCACTGCACTCTAACACAGGCAATAGAGTGAGACTCTGTCTCAAAAAAATAAATAAGAAAAAAAAGAAACCCATGATTGGTGATGGAAGGTCAGGTTTGCTTCCTTCTTGTGAACACAAAGAATGCCGGCTCTTTACCCATCAGTACATGACCTTTTGTCTAGTCTCATCCATGCTAGATTTTCTTCCTGACATGTAAATTTGCGGACAGGTAGGAAAAATGTAAGATGTTAGTGATTTCCTGGTGAGAACAGGAATAGGAATTGTAGCTCTCTGCCTAACGTAAAAATAGGATCTGCAGCCAGGTGTGGTGGTTCATGCCTGTAATCCCAGCACTTTGGGAGGCCAAGGCTGGTGGATCACGAGGTCAGGAGATCAAGACCATCCTAACTAATGCGGTGAAACCCCGTCTCTACTACAAATACAAAAACTTAGCTGGGCATGGTGGCACATGCCTGTAGTCCCAGCTACTCGGGAGGCTGAGGCAAGAGAATCGCTTGAACCCGGGAGGCGGAGGTTGCAGTGAGCCAAGATCATGTCACTGCACTCCAGCCTGGGTGACAGAGTGAGACTCCGTCTCCAAAAAAAAAAAAAAAAAAAAATAGCATCTGCAATGTGAATGGATAAACATCAAATTTGCTTATTAATTTTTAGCCACCAGGTACCCTGCTCTGTTCTCTCTCTCTTCTATCTAGTAGTTCATGGGAAATATTATTTGTTTCATTAAAAAGGTCCTTAAAGGCCAGATGCAGTGGCTCACACCTGTAATCCCAGCAATTTGAGAGGCCAAGATGGGTGGATCATGAGGTCAGGAGTTCAAGACCAGCCTGGCCAACATAGTGAAACTCCATCTCTACTAAAAATACAAAAATTAGCCAGGCATGGTGATGGGCACCTGTAATCCCAGGTACTTGGGAGGCTGAGGCAGGAGAATCGCTTGAACCCAGGAGGCAGAGGTTGCAGTGAGCCAAGATCATGCACTGCACTCCAGCCTGGGTGACACAGTGAGACTCTGCATTCAGGAAAAAAAAAAAAAAAAAAAAAAAAAAGTCATTGAAGAAGCTAGGAGAAAATAAGGTGAAGGTAGAATCAAGGGTTTAGCTCTGCAAAACTAACAGATCAAGAGTGTGTGTGTGTATATGTGTATGCAGAGAGAGAAGAGAAAGAAGAGAGAGACAGGGCAAGGCAGGAAAATCAGTCAGAGGGCTCCAGAAAGAGTCCACAGAACAAATGGCACCTGAAACCCTTCAATGACTGACCACTGCCTTCTGGATAAAGTCCAGACTCCGCATATGGCACTTCATGGCCTTTACGATCTATCCCCTCCCTGTCTTGAGTCATTTGCCCTCCTCACAACTCAACCTTCTAGCCAAGCCAAATTTATTTCACTCAAATCCAGGTCGTCAGGCATGCTATACCCTTCACCTACCTTTCCCGTCTCCCAGCCATCACCTCCCTTCAGTCCCTGCCGCTGGGGTTCTCTGCACCCTCTGTCTCTACAAGCCCCAGTGGCTGTTGCACCACCAGCTCACTGTCACATCATCACCTTCCCCCAAACTTCAGAGCCCACTTAGGACAGAGACTGAGCCTGGAATGTCACAGCATCCCTGGCACGTGGCCTGGAAGCTGCTTACACAGCAGGTGTGCATTTAACTCATGTGTTAAATGAGTCAAAATGGAATGTTGTTTTCCTGAAGTATTAAAATGCAGAGGCATTTATAAATAAGCCAAATCTTAAAAATCTTCATGGGCAAAGCATGAGTAGCTAAGAACTGTGTCTTTATAGAAGTACCTCTTTATCTATGTTCATAGTCATTCGTATTCAAGCTCCCGTCTGCCTCTGTCTCTTCTTCCTAAGCCTCCTCACAGGCAATGGAAAGTCCTCTCTGATTTTACTTCTGAAAGAACAGCTTATTTAGAGGTCTGCCCCAATTTCAGAAACCTGTCATGGGAAAATGTGTCCTCAGGAAAGAACAGAATTGATTACTTGTAACACTCTTCATAATGCATTAGGATTTTGAGAGCTCCTTTCAACAGCAGTCCCCCTCTACATGTAAATGTCTCTCTGTAGAACGTTACCTCCTTGCTACAGAGGGAGAATCAGCAATTCTTTTTTTTTTTCTTTCTTTTTTTTGAGACAGAGTTTCACTCTTGTTGCCCAGGCTGGAGTGCAATGGCGCAGGCTTGGCTCACTGCAACCTCCGCCTCCCGGGTTCAAGCGATTCTCCTGCCTCAGCCTCCCAAGTAGTTGGGATTATAGGCACCCGCCACCACATCCAGCTAATTTTTGTATTTTTAGTAGAGACGGAGTTTCACCATGTTGGCCAGACTGGTCGTGGACTCCTGACCTCAGGTGATCCGCCCACCTCGGCCTCCCAAAGTGCTGGGATTACAGGCGTGAGCCACTGTGCCCGACCAAGAATCAGTAATTCTTAATGCTAAAGGAAGGAATTATTCATCCATGGAAGAAAAAAGTAACAATAACCACAGTAACAGGTATTGTGTATCTATTCTGTACTAAGTACAAGCATGCTGGGTGTTTTCTGTCCATCACCTCTTTCTCCATAACCTTGTATTCCCATGTTGCAGGTAATAAAACTGAGGCTAAAAGGAGGTAAATGAGGCCAGGCACAGTGGCTCATGCCTGTAATCCCAGCACTTTGGAAGGCTGAGATAGGTGGATCACTTGAGGCCAGGAGTTCAAGACCAGCCTGGCCGACATGGCGAAACGCATCTCTACTAAAAATACAAAATCTAGCTGAGTGTGGTGGCACACGCCTGCAACCCCAGCTACTCAGGAGGCTGAGGCAAGAGAATCACTTGAACCTGGGAGGCAGAGGTTATGGTGAGCCAAGATCATGCCACTGTACTTCAGCCTGTCTCAAAAAAATACATACATTTTTTTAAAAAGGAGGCAAATTATTTTCTCAGATGTAGCAAAGCCAAATTTGAACTTAAGCCCATCCAACTCCAAACCTGTGCTCTTTCCATTATGCCAAGAATCTATGATCTTGAATCCTAAATAAAAGGAAAAAAATGAATGACAATATACCTGACATAGAACTTCATTTGTATCAGTTTGGTTCAGATGCTACTGTCTAGAAACATGTTTACTTCATCGAGCACGCAATGTGGGCACTGAAATATTTCCCCTATCTCCCTGGCATCACTAGAGAGAAGACCAGCAAGAAGAAAGAAAAAGGGACTGGCAAATACAACGACAGATCACCCCAGAACCCAGCAAGGCTGGGTTCACCCCATTCTAGCACAGCACACTGGAGCCTGCAGGGGGTGGGGGGTGGGGGAGGGGCTTTTACCCTGACAGCCTGGAAGAGCAAACATTACAAAAAAAGGATGCAAAAACCAAAGCATATGGAGTCTGAACAGCCCTTGACAGCCGCACCTACGCAAGCACCCACACCACTTCTGTTGTCTTGGCAAGTGCAATCAGCATTACCCTCAAAGAAATGACAAAGATCAAAAGCATTCTTGATTGGGGCTGTAATCCTCCAAACCTGAACATCATCAAAAACTGGAGGACTACAGTCAGGTCCAGCTCCCTTTCACTGCCCTAAGTGAAGCTTCACTTTGACTCACCATTTCCCTAATACATTCTTCCCTTTTCTAACCATAGCAACACCACTGGAACAGCATCTCCTCTACTGATGATCTTGCCAAATCCTACTCATTCTCTGGAGCTCAGGTGAAGGTCAGCCCCCTTCTCCCAGAAGCAGTTTGTGATTTTTTGTGCCCAGAATGGTGTCTCCCTACTCTGACTCTACACACTGTCCCACTTAGCCCACTTACCTACATGGCTATCTAGAGGCACGTAGGACCAATGTATTTCTCACCTCCATGCTGCAACCTGGCCCTTCACTCTTTCCTGCAGTTAAATTCAATAAAATACTCACTGACTCTGCTCCAGGCATTGAAGATACAGAAATGATTAAATCCCAGCCCTGCTTTTGTGGGACCCACAATCTAAGTCAGAAAGGACAACATCAAATAAAATTCTACAAATAAATTTGTCATAATAGGGTACACGATTTCACCCAAAAGAGTGCTATCCTATCACCCTGTTTACTGCCTTCATGTCATTTAGCTCAATCTGTGGCCATTGTTCATTTGTTTGCGGTCAGCCTGTCCCTAGTAGGAGAAACTAGCATAGGAATGTTGTCTGTCTGGCTCACCACTGTCCCCAGCGCTCCATATGGACTTGAGCACAGAGACACTCTCATTGAAAGCTGTATTTGTGGAAGGAAGTAAAGAGAGAGGCAGGGAAGTGTCAGGAACTATGAGCACCAAGCTCAGCTTGAGCTTCAGGCAATGCTTCGTGACAGGGAGCCAGCTATGATCTGAAGTCTGAGTAAGGGCCGGACAGGGAAGGCGTGAGCCCCAATCCAGAAGAGGAACAGGATGAGTAAAGGTAAGAATGGCAAATCGGCATGACCAAGGGAGTGGTCATTTAAGAGCCCTTAAATATTGCTATAGACCAGCTGCTCTTAAAAGGGGATGATTTTTGCCTCCTGGGGGCATTTGGCAATGCATGGAGACTTTTTAAATTGTTTCTTGTTTTTGATTTTATTTTTAGAGACAAGGTCTCACTCTGACACCCAGGCTGGAGTGCAGAGTGCAGTGGCACGATCTCTGCTCACTACAACCTCCACCTCCCGGGTTCAAGCAATTCTTGTGTCTCAGTCCCTGGAGTAGCTGGGATTACAGGCACACACCTGGCTGTAATTTTTGTATTTTTAGTAGACATGGAGTTTCATCATGTTGGCCAGGCTACTCCTGACCTCAATGATCGCTGGTCTTAGCCTTCCCAAGTGCTGGGATTACAGGAGTGAGCCACCACACCCAGCCCACTTTTTAAAATTGTTAAGGCTTAGGGCAGGAAATGCTGCTAGCATCTACTAGGTAGAGTCCAGGGACTCTGATAAGCATTGTACAACGTCCAGAGCAGCTCACCACAACAGCCATCTAATCTAGAATGTCAGTAGTGGCCAGGCAGCATAGCTCACACCTGTAACCCCAGTGCTTTGGAAGGCTGAGGCTAGGAGTTCAAGACCAGCCTGGGTAATATAGTGAGACCCCATCTCTACAAAATATTAAAAATCAGCCAGGTATGGTGGTGCATGTCTGTAGTCCCAGCTACTCAAGAGGCTGAGGCAGAAGGATCGTTTGAGCCTAGGAGTTCAAGTCTCCAGTGAGCTATGATTACAACCACTGTACTCCAGCCTGGGTGACAGAGCAGGATCACATCTCTTCAAAAAAAAAAATTTTTTTTAATAAAATGTGGCCAGGCATGGTGGCTCATGATTCTAATGCCAGCACTTTGAGAGGCTGAGGCAGGTGGATCACTTGAGGTCAGGAGTTTGAGACCAGCCTAGCCAACGTGGTGAAACCCCATCTCTATTAAAAATACAAAAATTGGCCAGGCGTGGTGGTGTGTGCCTATAATCCCAGCTACTCAAGAGACTGAGGCAAGAGAATTGTTTGAACCTGAGAGATGGAGGTTGCAGTGAGCCAAGATTGTGCCACTGCACTCCAGCCTGGGTTACAGAGCGAGACCCTATCTCAACAAAATAAAATGTCAGCCAGGCATGGTGGCCCACACCTGTAATCCCAGTATTTTGGGAGGCCAATGCAGGTGGATCACCTGAGGTTGGGAGTTTGAGACCAGCATGGCTAATATGGCGAAACCCCATCTCTACTAAAAATAAAAAAAATTAGCTGGATGTGGTTGCAGGTGCCTGTAATCCTAGCTACTCAGGAAGCTGATGTGGGAGAATCACTGGAACCCAGGAGGCAGAGGTTGCAGTGAGCCAAGATCACACCACTGCACTCCAGCCTGGGCAACAGAGGGAGACTCCGTCTCAAAAAAAAAAAAAAAAAAAAAAAAACTGTCAGCAGTACTGAGGTTTACCAACCCAGCTGCAGACTAACATTCAAGGGATGGGCTGGTCAGAAAACTAAGCTTTCTTCTAAAGGTCATGATTTCTAGTCACATCTAATATCTTCTTTTGATTAGAATTTGGACCAAAATAGCATGTGCTTGCCACTTCCTACAGCCTCTGAGAAAAGAAATATTCAGCAAGGAGTATCTTGATCCTAAGGACCCATATCAATGTCCTTCCTCTGCCGGATATTCACCAGGACCCATTTCCTCCGTAAATTCTAGGGCTCCAAACCACCCACCCCACATGCAAGGTGATGAGAAGTAGAGAGATGAGAAGATGAGAGGTGCTCAGAGCACTGGTAGATGAATGGATAGTCAGACAGAGGGATGGACAGATTTGTCAGGATGGCAAAAGACGGAATCCTTGGAGCTCCCAGAGTGTGTGTGTCTGTGCCACGTGGACTTTTCTGTGAAGGCAGAATTGGCCTGAGCAACAACACTCCCGACCCCAGACCTGTTATGAGAGCTGTTGTGGAGAGCACTGAGAAGGGGTCATCTCTGCAGGACTCTGGAGCCTCTGCAGGGAGTCAAGCAGCTGGGCTTGACCCAGTGAAGTGACAAGAGCTGGGAAGTCAGTGAAGACAAGGCCGCTTTGTCTGGAAGTAGCAACGCATGGCTGGGCTGAGCCTGCCCTTGATCATGAAATCTGTGGCAGCTCCAAAACTTGTTGGGGCCTGACCCTGTGTTCACTTTCTCACGCTGCCTCACCATTGTTCCTCTGCAGCTAAAAGTCTTTCAAATGTGTCTGCTTATTTTTGCCTTGGCAAATAATTCTATATTTCCAATATTATCTAAAATGCTTGAATTTTAACTCTAAAAGGAAAAAAAAATCATCTTTTTTTCTGCTGTAAGACATCCGCTAGTGTTACATTCGTAAAGAGTAGATCTGAGACACTCAGAAAGGCTACCTCCTATTTCATCTCAAATTCCACTTTGTGACAAAGCTTCCCAGATTTCCTCATCTCTGAAGTGGGCACAATACTACCCACATTACATTCTTATTAACAATCCTAAAAAGGGCTTATTTAAATAAGAAACATCTAGAAATGGATGCCATGGATGAAAATTCAATTTACATCTAAGTTTTCATGGAAGCATCTGGTGGGTAGAGCGACAAAAGCCAAGAATGGCACCCCATGCAGGGCAGGATGCTCTTCTCAGTTACAGAAAAACATGGGCCTTGTATCTTACATATGGCTCTGTACAGAGCTGGGAGAAAGGAACAGGCTACCCTAGCAAATCAAAATGGAAATTGAGCTACATTTGTTACAATTCAAGCAAGATCTGCAACTTTCAATAGAAAAATATTAGTACAGGCAGTACCCAACTTGGAAATGAACTGTCTTGCAAAAGTTCATTTGCAAGCAGAGTGTTCAGAACCTGGAATGCAAGGTGTCTTTTATGTCCCAAGCCAGCCCACAAAAGGCTGATTGAATCTGTAATCTATTTGGTATATTACATAAAGTAAAAATAGAAAACAAAACAAAACAAACTGCTCTGATAACATTTTAAAAACATATAAAAATACTTAGAAAACAAATATACAGCCAATAATTAGCCTTGACCCGAAGCCCCCACCATGACCTGGGCCCTGGACCCCCTACAGTCCAAGTCATAGCTGAAATGGGGTCCTGAGAAACTGAATGGAGAAGAATGAGAAGAACCCCAGCCTAAAAGGGACAGGGGTTCTGGTGGGAGAAAAAAGTAGTCAGGCATCTCTCAACTGGAAGAGAAGGGTCTGGTACCTACCCAGAATATATACTCTAGCACAGAAGTGCTACTGGTCACATCTAGAAAGACATGGGTATGTGAAAGAACAGTGGCCACTCTGCCTGCTACCAAAGTAGACAAAATGAGCTGCTGCTGAAGACAAGCGAGCCAGCCACCTGGCACCGCCCTACCAGAGGGACGAGGGATGTGAATTCCCAGCATGCTCTGCAGCAGCATGGACAGCCAGGGACACTCAGAGGCCAGAAGGAAGATGTTCCTGCAGCTGCCGGCAGTTGGTATAGGAGCGTCCAGGGGCCGCATGTGATTCTGATGGATCTGGCTAGGTCAAGTAGGAAGTTTCTGAGCTTTACAAAAGTGAAAACTGTCCTAACTGATAAGGTTAGTCACATTTCTGGTATCTTCAGAAGAGTACAGGGGACAAGAACATAGAGACCCTGGGAACGCCTTCCCCAACACAGCACACTCACACCTTTACGGCAAAAAGGGTGCTTCATTCCAGATTGCTGCTGAATCTGATACCTGGATCGACTCCAAATACAAATGTGATGTGAAATATTGAAATCAGGTTTGAAAACTGAGATTTATTATGCATCCACTTTGTACCTTCTTTAATCCTCCAAATAAAGTGTCAGTCTCCAGCTCAAATTCCTGGTCCAGCTCCTCTTCGTGTTCTGACCAAAAAAAAAAAGTCTTCGTTAGTCACAAATCTAAACAAAACTGGGCTGGCTGAAGAGCTGAAGCACTGAAAGAATTGGACTATGTCCTGGAAAAGCAGCCAGTGGACTAAGGTGCAGGCACGGAAACATACCACACTCCTTGACCTTGCTTTCCAGTGTTCTGTGACCTAAGTTCCTGGAAATATGTAGAGCCACTGATGGAAACTTGGCTTGTAATAAGGGTCACAAAAGGAGACAGCAAAGGAGAAGAGTTTCCAACACAGGAAAACATGGGAAGGGTTACTGCAAATGGCCCATGTGCACACGCTGTTAGAAATTTTGGGCCGGGCATGGTGGCTCACGCCTGTAATCCCAAAACTTTGGGAGGCCAAGACGGGCGGATTACAAGTTCAGGAGTTTGAGACCAGCCTGACCAATGTGGTGAAACCCCATCTCTACTAAAAATACAAAAATTAGCCAGGTGTGGTGGCATGGTCAGGAGAATGAGGCAGGAGAATTGCTTCAACTGGGAGGCAGAGGTTGCATTGAGCCAAGATTATGCCATTGCACTCCAGCTTGGGCAACAAGAGCAAGACTCCATCTCAAAAAAGAAAAGAAAAAAAAAAAAAAGAAATTTTGACACAGACTATGCCACAAAACTATGGTGATTGGATCCGCTATGATATAATGCTAACAAAATATAATAAAATAGTCATATAATGGTAATGAGCATGTTTGTAAGTAAACAATACAGTTGATTTGAAACAAAAGATAAAATAAAATCTGCCAACACTTCTTGAGGAGGTACAGTAACCAGACACAGTACAAGATACTAGCAATGAAATGGAACCAGACTGGCGTGGCTTTTGTCTTCCTGGGGCTTACTGTATGCTGGGGAAGATAGACAAACACAGAATAAGAAACTATGATAGTGCTGATCAGTGCCATGATGCAGGAAGGAATGCTGTGGGAGCCGATGCTGAGGTCTGTGCGATGTCCTGTAGGCAACTGCATGGATGCGGGTGGAGCTCAAAGGAATGCTCTAAGCTGGAGATAAAGACTTACAAGTTCTCAGTATAAGGGTGGGACAAAACCACCAGAATGGCTGAGATTCCCCCCCAAAAAAGGACAAAGAGTACATAGACAAGAATGGGGAAATATTAATGCATATCAGATCAACAAAAGTATAAAAACCTCAAGAAACCAAAAAGGAGCTATCCAGAAGGAAACCCAGGAGAGAGTGCTGTCACTAAAATATAATCATGAAATAATGCTGGTTTCAGAGTAGGATCAAGGGGCAGATTCACACACACCAGATGCAAACAGCAAGCCAAGCGTCAGACCACAGGCAACATTTAGTAACAACAGAAAAGAGAGGGGCTTGCAAACCGGCCCAGGGTACACACCGCACACCTCCAGGAGCCCCAGCCACAGTGCAATCCAAGTGATCTGGGTGTGCCATGGAGGTGTGTGATTGCAGTAGGGCACTGGTCCTCTCTGTGACAGCTGCACGCAAGACCATTGTGTGTGCGTGCACGCACCTATTTGCGTGTTGCACTGCACACAGACACACAGACTCAAGTCCAAAGGAACAATTGGCAAACAAATGACAAGTTACTGTGATCCAACAAAGAAGTAACAGAAACCTCTGAATTCATTAAGGCAAAGAGGGTAGAAAAACTTTCTGCCTCTTCCCGCTTCTGTTTTGGCTTCACTTTCACAGAAACTGCAACCTTTAGAAACATCAGAGTTACACGGGATTAAAACAAAGCAAAAACTTAAGCTCTTTTTTTTGGTGCTTCTTTAAGAGTTCATTCAAAAGCAGTGGCATTTACACGCTAGCCTCAGATTTCCTGAGGCTGGAACATATCTCCCTCTAGTGGGAGAAAGGAACCCCATAGCAGACAAGAGAATTATAATGAAATCTTGCCTAGTGCTGTCCAACAGAAATAGAACACGAACCACACTTAAAATTTTAAAGTTTCTAATAGCCACAAAGTTAAAAAAAAAAAAAAAAAAAGTGAAGTTAATTATTTATTCCAATATATCCAAAATTGTATTTCAATATAAAATCAATATTAAACAGTTATATGAGTTATTTTACATTCCCTTTTTCTAATTCTTTATAATCCTATTTACATGTCATCTTTATAGCACACCTCAATTTGGCCTGGCCACATTTCAAATGCTCCCTATCCAGATGTGGCCCACGAGTACAATATTGGACAGCATAGCTCTAGACCAAAAATCTGTCCTCGGCCAGGCGCGGTAGCTCACGCCTGTAATCCCAGCACTTTGGGAGGCCAAGGTGGGCAGATCACCTGAGGTCAGGAGTTCAAGACCAGCCTGGCCAACATGGAAAAACTCCATCTCTACTAAAAATACAAAATTAGCTGGGCGTGATGGCAGGCGCCTGTAATCCCAGCTACTCGGGAGGCTGAGGCAAGAGAATTGCTTGAACCCAGGAGGCAGAAGTTGTGGTGAGCCTAGATCATACCATTGCACTCCAGCCTGGGCAAAAAGAGCGAAACTTCATATCAAAACAAAACAAAAAAAAAAAAACACAAAAACAACCTTTCCTCATGTTTTGGAGAATTCATATAAATCACCTTTGTCTCATTTCTTGACACAAATGCTCCCTGACATAAATTTTAAATTGTAACTTAAATCCATTCATGACCTGTTTGGAACTCACTGTTTTCAAATTGTCTTAAGTTAGCTGAAAATCCCAGCTGCAGAATGTAGTTGATACAGGAGAACCTGTGGCAGGACATCTTTCCACAAGCTGCAGTAACCCTCAGAATTTCTGATTATATCTTCTGGTAACCGCCCTTTGGGTTCATTCGGCCCACTGCCTAGATACAGCAGATTTACCAAGACAGAGGAATTGCAATAGAGAAATTTAATTCACACAGAGCTGCCTAAATGTCAGATGGGAGTTTTATTATTACCGAAATCAGTCTCCCAAAAATTCGGAGACTGGGTTTTTTTTTTGTTTTTTCCCAGAAGTCTCGCTCTGTCGCCTAGGTTGGAGTACAGTGGTGCGATCTTGGCTCACTACAACCTCCACCTCCTGGGTGCAAGTGATTCTTCTGCCTCAGACTCTCAAGTGGCTGGGATTACAGGTGTGCACCACTATGCCCAGCTAATTTTTGTATTTTTAGTAGAGACGGGGTTTCTACTAAAACCCCATGTTGGTCAGGCTGGTCTCGAACTCCTGACCTTGTGAGACTGGGGTTTTTTAAGGATAATTTGGCAGGTAGAGGGCCAGGGCTGATTGGTCAGGTCGGAGATGAAATCATAGGGAGTCAAAGCTGTCCTGCTGTGCTGAGTTGGTTCCTGAGTGGGAGCCGCAAGATCAAATGAGCCAGTTCATCGATCTGGGTGGCACCAGCTGATCTCTCCAGTACAAAGTCTGCAAAATATCTCAAGCACCAAGCTTAGGTTTTACAATAGTGATGTTCTCCCTAGGAGCAATTGGGATGGTTTAGAATCTTGTGGCCTCTAGCTACATAACTCCTAAGCCATAATTTCTAATTTTATGACTAATTTGTTAGTCCTACAAAGGCAGTTATATTTATAATTTTGGCACAGGCAGTTTTATTCTTAGGGAGGGACCTCAGACCTTCATTCTTTGAGCAGAACTGGAGTTTTTATCCTAAGTCAAATACAGTCAAGCAAGAGGCTGCTACAAACAGAAAAGAAGCCTTCTGTGCCTGGGAATTCTCTCCCCATCACACAGGACTGTCTGGCAGAACCTGCTCTTTCTTCCAGTGCCCTGGTTCTATTTCCCCAAATTCAGTGCTCCACAAAACTGCCTGAGAGCATAGAAATGAAGCAATTTCTGCTGATGAGTCCTGATTACCATGTCAGCTGTTGATTCTTCCCTTCCACAAAAGGATACATCAAAGCTCCATCCTACCTACTGAGTGAGAGGATTTGCATTTTAATCGCTGCCAATGAGCTGTGGTGGTAAACCATTTACTTAAAACCTCTAACTAACCTACCCCTTTTCACTCTCAGCATTTTGATGGGAAATTAATTCTGGGGTGTGTGTAGTAAGAGGGCAATAATCAGAAGAAAACACATACACACACACACCCTAGTCTGACACAAGCCACTGCCAGGGAGCAGCACACCCAGTCATGGGGCACGTGCCCCGCTGTTTCTATACATTGGCAAAACTCCAATCAGCTCCTACTGATTATTTCTCCAGGAAGCCATGAGTACAATAGACTGTGGTAGTCATTGAGAATGGGAAGGGGGCACAGAAAAGACGGGCTTCTAATGATAGGAGAATTTAGCGGTAAGCAACTCTCAAATATTCTTCTGCAGATTATCCTACAGAAAGGGGGTGGCTTTTCATGACACTCTGGAGGCCTAGGGGCTCCTTCTTTCCTCTTCCAATTTCCACTTGAGGAATAAAAAAGTGATTTAGAAATAACCCAAGGAAAAGCAAATCAGATATGTCAATGGATGTAAAAGGAGACACTGCATAAATGTGCTTCAAAACTCCCAAATGGGGCTGCTCATCTGCCACTCACCTGAGAAATTCTGAGTCTGCAGGGGCAGACCACCAGGTGCTTAATTTGCATGGAAAACTTTAGAGCTTCTGGGAGAAGTAGAAGCACCCTGGACTGAAATGGAAACTCTCAAGCCAAGAGTAAGCCATAAGCTCTGTGCATGTTCAGGGGTCTGACATGGAGCACCAGCTGAGAAACAGAAGGAATGAGGAGCTGTGGAGTCTAACACTAGGGCTTGCCCACAAATGCTCTCTAGCCTAGGCTCTGCCCCATGTCATTGTGGGAGGCTTATTAGAAGTCTTAAGAAAGCAGATTACCTGGAAGCCAACACTCTCCTATGTAAGGATAAAAAAATATTTTTCCTCCAACTTTCTTAGGTTCATGACTGAGGCCCCTATAACAAAAGGCACATTAACAAGAGAAGAGCATACAAATGTAGTTAATGTAAGTTTCACATGATACAGGAGCCTTAGTAAGGAAATGAAGACTAAGAAATGGCTAAATTTTATTTTATTTTATTTTTTGAGATGGAGTCTCACTCTGTCGCCCAGGCTGGAGTGCAGTGGTGCGAACTCGGCTCACCGCAAGCTCCACCTCCCGGGTTCACGCCATTCTCCTGCCTCAGCCTCCCAAGTAGCTGGGACTACAGGCGCCCGCCACCACACCCGGCTAATTTTTGTATTTTTAGTAGAGACGGGGTTTCACCATGTTAGCCAGGATGGTCTTGATCTCCTGACCTCATTATCCACCCGCCTCGGCCTCCCAAAGTGCTGGGATTATAGGCGTGAGCCACCGTACCCAGCCAAATTTGTGTATTTTAATGCTAGGTTTGATGAAGATTGGACAGTCATGGAGAAATAGATTTGGATAAAGTGAGTATGTTCTAATGGTAATAAACTGAGGGGAACTTAGCAAGACCTATTTCTTCTGTGTGATCCTTCATCTTCTGAGATAAGGATGTTCCCTTCTTTTGTGTATAGAGAAGGCACCTCTCACATGAGAGTTTTATGACCTGCTTCAGGGGAGAAAGGTTGGGAGTAACTTTCCTGCTTCTGCTGTTTTCTCAAATGCCAAGGTGCCATGTTTTGAGGTAGTGCTCCTGAACCCCCAACACCTACCTGAAGGACCAGTGTTAACCCAGGAGGAAAATGCCAGTGCAAGGAGGAAGGGATAGGCTACAAGACTTGGGATCCATTCCAATAGGAAGACAGTGATTCAACTGTTTCCTAAGACCCTGGCCATAGATAACAATGGAAACCACAGCCAAATATAATGTGAAGCATCACCAAACAGAATGTTTGGAGCCTTGGTTGTTCCACAACACTCACTGTTAATGCTTCAAGACAGGCTGTCCAGTTCCCAGCTCCTACAGGAGAAGTTCAATTGGGTCTTTTCACAAAGCCTTGTAAACTGAAGGGCCCCTGGTGGCCCCAGACATACTCAGTCAGCTCACCTGGTTCCAAGAGCAAGGACACCTGGTTCAAGGACAGGACCAGTGGCCTCTGTTTTCCCACCCTGGACTGGGTTCTTCAGAGTTACTGATCATCTTGCAACCACGTTCCTCTAATCACAGAAGTCAGTGGGAAAAATTACTTCCTAACAAAGCCCATGACCCGTAAGAGGTTAGCATGTTGCATGAAGAATGTAAAAGAAAGAACTAATCTATAAATGAGCTTCTGTATCCTTTCTTCATAAATCGAGCTTAGTAATAATGAAGGCCACAGGTTTATAAAGAAATAAACAAAAGGTAGAAGGTGAATGTGTTCCGTTATACTAGCTGTATCCCACTTTAAGAACAACTATATAAAAACAAAGAAACAGGGAGTAGTGATTCAAATAAATACTTCGCACCAGAAAAAGCAAAAGCTCTTTAAATATGAGGGCTCCCCGGTGCTAGAGTTTATTTAAAGAAACATTAACTACAGATATATCACTGAATATTAAAAAAATGAAAAAAAAAGCCTGTGACATGAAAACGCAAATCAACGGGAAGCACAATTTCATTTATAAAAATGTCATTAATATGCAACTTTTCAGGAACATAGCTGCTTCATAAAAGAAGATGTGCCTGGGCTCTGCAAAATCAGAAGGTTCTAGGGTAGCTGCTTTTCATTAGAAAATAATTTTCACAGGCCAGGCATAGTGGCTCATGCCTATAATCCCAGGACTTTGGGATTTGGCTTGAGGCCAGGGGTTTAAGACCAGCCTGGGCAACATAGCAAGACCCTGTCTCCAAAAAAAAAAAAAAATAGCCAAGCAAGTGTGCAAGTGTGGTACTGTGTGCCTGTAGTCCTAGCTACTTAGGAGGCCGAGGTTGGAGGATCACTTGAGCCCAAGCACTTGAGTTTGCAGCGAGCTAGGACTGAGCCACTACACTCCAGCCTGAGCAACAGGATGAGACACTGTCTCAAAAATAATAATAATGAAATAGAAAAATATGAATTGCTCAAACTGACTTAAGAATGAAAACATACCAATAACCCTGAAAGGTACTGAAAAGTTTTCAATGAATCTACTCCCAAAGAGATTTCATGCCTAGACAAACTTAGAAGTGAATAACATCAGACACTGATGCAGACATTTCATATACTACTTTAACAGTTCCATAATATTTTTTAAAATGGAATCCTCTCCAGTTGTTTTATAAAGCTAACAGGATATCAAGATTGAAATTTGGGGATGAGACAAAACAAAATTACAGGCCAACCACTCTCACTTAGAAATCCATATATTTTTTAACCCTAGGGAAAAAAGCAGTATGTTTAAAAATACCATGGTCACGGTAGGTTTGTAATAGGAATGAATCCGTATGGTTTGCCTCTGGAAAACTGATGACTTTAAAATATAGTATCAATAGGTCAAAAAAGGAATAGGTACTTTAAAAACAAATAAAATTCAACACTTATTGCCAATTTAAAGGGGCTAGGATTCCTTAACATGAGTTTTTAAAAACAAGTAAGTAAAGCTTGTTCAACCTTTCACTATACAGAGATTTCCATTAAAGTCAGAATTAAAACAGGTTAACATTCAACTATTGTATTGTTCTAGATGTCCTAGCAAAGCAAAAACAAATGAAGCAAAACTACTATCATTATCTGTGGATGGTATTATCTAAATAGAAGGACAAGGAAAATCAAGCCAATGGAACATAAGAGAATTCAATAAATTGCTGAAATATAAAATACATAAACCAAAATAAATACCTTTAGTGTAGATCAGAAATAATCAGCTAGAAAATTTGTAAAATATCCCAATCACAAAAGGAGAAAGGAAAAGACTCAGAAATAATCTTAAGTTTTAGCAGAATCTATTATGAAGACAACCACAAACCTTCATTAAGGGAAGTGATGAAAGATTTTGAATAAGCAAAGAAAAAATATATTATTGGATAGAAAGACACATTATAAAAATATCAATTATTTACAAATTAATTTATAAGTTTATTACAATTCTAATTAAAACCCTAATGATTTTTTGAAAGTAGCCAATTTCAAATATATATCTGGAAGAATAAGCCAGTAAGAACAGCCTAAGAAAGATCTGAAAACAAAGAACCAATAACTAATAACTTACTCCAGATACTTAGGCATTTTGTAAATCAAAAATAATTAAAACGGCACAGTATTGATGTAAGAATTGATTGAGAAATCAATTAAACAGAATATAAGAATTTAATATGTGAGGCCAGGCACCCTTGTTCATGTATGTAATCTCAGCACTTTGGGAGGCCGAGGCAGGAAGATCGCTTGAGTCCAGGAGTTTGAGACCAGTCTGAGCAACATAGAGAGAGCTTGTCTCTCTTTTTATAAAATAAAAAATAAAAATAAATTTTAACAAAAGAACTCAGTACATGATCAAGATTGCATCATAATTATCATAATCACCAGTAATCCCGGCACTTTGGGTGGCCAAGGAGTTTGAGACCAGCCTGACTAACATGGAGAAACCCTGTCTTTACTAAAAATACAAAAATTAGCAGGGTGTGGTGGTACACACCTGTAATCCCAGCTACTCAGGAAGCAGAGGCATGAGAATTGCTTGAATCCAGGAGGCAGAGGTTACAGTGAGCAGAGATCGTGCCACTGTACTCCAGCCTGGGTAACAGAGCAAGATTCTGTCTCAAAAAAAAAAAAAAAAAAAAAAAAAAAGACATTATGTTTAGTTATCTATTTGTGAAAAAATATCACATCATATACTAAAATACACTTGAGATGGATTGAAGAGCACTCAACTTGCTGAGAGTAGTACAGAAAAATGGATCTCCTCCTTTGGAAGCGTTAATTGGCCCAGCCTTCCTGAGAACAGCCTGGGTTCATCTATTAAGCACCTGAAAAATGGTTGTGTGGTTTTACTCTATAACTCCTCTTCTAGAAATCTTTCTGAGAAAAACAATCAACAATCCAAACACATTCTTTACAAAGTAAATGAGCTAAGCATTCAACTCATGACAATGAAATAAAAAGGAACAGACCAAACCTAAAGAAACAATAAGGAAGGAAATAATGAGATAAGGGCAAAAATCAATGAGTTAGAAAACAAAAAGAAACAACTGAGAAAATAAAGCCAAATGCTGAAAAGATTAATAAGATCTCTGGCACCGTTGATCAAAGAAAGAAAAAATAGAAGGGAGGGAGAAGTGGAAAGAGGAAATGAAGGGAGTGAAGATGATGCAGATAAAATATAAAATAATGAAACACCAAAAAATTTTTAAGTAAGAGTTAAGAACCACAATATACTAATCAAACTGAAAACCTACATAAAGTATATAGATTTCCTAGAAAGCTATAAAATGTCAAGATGGGTACAAGAAGAAATAAAACATTTAAATAAGAACGAATAGGTGGTAAACTGAAATAGTCAAAGACTTCCCCTCCCAGGTGCTTTTTTTTAAAAAAAAAAAAAAAAAAAACAGGTGACTTCCTTCTATCACCGGGATTTTCCATGATGGGAATTCAATAGTTTTTATTCCGAATATTGCATTAAATTGACATGGCCAGAAAAATATATGGCATCCTTTTAGGCAGAGGCATCAATTCGTTCAAGGCCTATCACACAAGCCTTCTGATGCATGGTACATTGCATTTTCACATTAAATGTAAACAGAGAGGGGCCGGGCGTGGTGGCTCATGCCTGTAATCCCAGCACTTTGAGAGGCTGAGGGGAGTGGATTACCCCAGGTCAGGAATTCGAGACCAGCTTGACTAGCATGGTAAAACCCTGTCTGTACTAAAAATACAAAAATTAGCCAGGCATGGTGGCATGCACCTGTAGTCCCAGCTACTCAGGAGGCTAAGACAGAAGAATTGCTTGAACCTGGGAGGCAGAGGTTGCAGTGAGCCGAGATTGCGCCACTGCACTCCAGCCTGGGTGACAGACCAAGACTCCATCTCTTATTAAAAAAAAAAAAAAAAGTAAACAGAGACAAAAAGTTTTATGTCTACTAAACCATAAGGCACCAACCTAATGCAACAGCTGTGGATTAGCCACAGTACTGCAGAGCACCAGGGGCGAGGTCAGCCAGCATAGCGGATCACTATCACCACCCCAATATTTCCATATGACTTCAAGATATTCTAATTTGGTAGAGTTGGGGGGAAGAAGGGGTATTCTGTTGAGTCCCTGCTGTGGATTTGCTGAGAGATTCCATTTGACTAAGGCTGTTAAAATCAGTCTGCTGTCCCCAACCACGTGACAACCCCACTACTGCTGATAGAGACAGCAGTGAATGAGATGCCTGCTCTGTGCCCAAGGAGAGTAGCCACGCAGATGCCCACCAGAGACATTTCACTGAACAAATACACTTGGAGCCTCTAGTCTATTCTAGGCAGCACGTTTGCTCCAGACATGAATGCCCTAAAAAAGTTCAGAGTAAAGACGATTTTTCCAGTGACCTACTTCTACAATGTGGGTAAGTAGCACTTTTTCCTGAATTAGAAAGTGAGATGAGGAACCAAGAAGGCTCAACATTGTATCAGTTGAACATACTTAGGCATGGCATGGGGATCTGGCTCCCGTGAGGTAAACTGGCAAAAGCATTTGAGGAAGATATTTCTTGGGAATGGCCTGAGAAACACTTCAGCACTGACAATAAAAGGAAAGGCATTAAGGATTAAAGAAGCTTCAGGCTAGGAGGTGGTCAGCATGACAGCATCTGGACAGGTTAAGGTGCAGAAAAGTTTTGTACTATCCGCAAAGGAACCCCTCGCCCCGTTCCCAGAAGCTATCACAACACAAGAAGTAGAGTTGTAAAGTCTTAGGTTTAAGCTTCAGCTCTATTATTTCTATTATTAAATATATGACCTTGGACAAGTAATACTTTTGAGCCTCAGTGTCCTCATGTGGGTAAAGAAGTATAACACCCATTATAGAAGAGAGAAACTCCAGAGGTGGCTCCATCAGACTCTTCCTCTACATGCTGCTCCACCTGTAAAAAGGTGCAGTCTTTCCTTCCCTTCAATCTGGACTGGCCCTGTGATTTGCTTTGACCAATAAATGAGGCAGAAGTGACCTGTATAACTTCCCAGGCTGCACGTGCAACAGCTGGAACCCAGCTGCCCTGTAATAAATGTAAGAAATGTAAGCCACATGAAGCCATTTAGAGAGGACCATAGTACTCCACTTGACAGTCCCCAGCTGAGCTCTCAGCTGAAAGCCAGCACCAACTGCCAGCCACGTGAGTGAGCCACCCTGGATGAGTGAGCCCAATCGAGCCACCAGATGACTGCAGCCCCAGCTGACAATACATGAAACAGGAGAAATGCCAGCTGAGTCCAGTCCAGGTATATTAAAGTCAAAATCTCACAGAACACAAAAATCATGTAATCCAACACATCACCAGGCTAAAGAAGAATAAACTGATCAAGAGATGCAGAAAGAACACTTGACAAAATCCAACATCCATTGTGTTGGTTAGTGCTATGTGTCAACTTGACCAGGCCAAAGAGTGCCCAGATTAAACACTATTTCTAGGTGTCTGTGAGGGTGTTTCTTGATGAGATAAGCATTTGAATCAGATACAGTAGATTGCCCTCTTTAATGCAGGTGGGCACCATCCAATCCATTGAGGGTCTAAATAGAACAAAAGGAGGAGGAAGGAAGAATTCACTCTTATTTCTGGCTACTGCTTGAGCTAGACCATCTCAGCTCATCCTCTCCTGCCCTCAGACTGGGATTTACATCATAGGCTACTCCAGTTCTCAGGCCTTTGGACTTGAACTGAATTGCACCACTGGCTTTCACAGGTCTACAGCTTGCAGACAGAAGATCATGGAACTTCTCAGCCTCTATAATTGTGTGGGCCAATTCCTTGTAATAAATCTCCTTTTATATCTATATGTAGCCTATTGATTCTATTTCCCTGGAGAACCCTAACTAATACAGTCATTCATAACAAAAGCTCTCAGAAAACTAGGAATAGAGGGGAACTTCCTTAACTAGATAAAAAGCATCCATAAAAAACCCACAGCTAATGTCATACTTAATGGTGAGAAACCAGAAGTTTCCCCAGTTAAATTAGGAATAAGGCAAGGATAAGCCCTCTCATCTCTTTTTCAACATTGTACTGGAAACCCTAATTAATGCAATACAACAACAACAAAAAAGAAAAGGTATATAAGATTGAAAAGAAAGAAAGAAAATCATCTTCGCAGACGCCATGATTACCTATGTAGAAAATCTGAAAGAACTGACAGAAAAACTCCTGGAATTAATAAGCTATAATAACAAGATTGCTATAACAAAATCAATTGCTTTCCTATATATCAGCAATGAAATAAGTAGAATTTGAAATTTAAAACAATATCATTTACATTGTCACCCAAAAAATGAAATACTGAGCTATAAATCTAACAAAATATGTATAAGATCTATATCAGGAAAACAATAAAACTCTCATGAAAGAAATCAAAGAACTAAATAAATGGAGAAATAGTCCATATTCATGGATAGGAAGACTCAATATTGTCAAGATGTCAGTTCTTCCCAACTTAATCTATAGATTCAATGCAACCACAATGAAAATCCTGGCAAATTCCATTGTCCGAATGTACCACAGTTTATTAGTCCATTTGCTGCTTAAGGACATCTTGATTGCTTCCAATTTTTAGCAATTATGAATAAAGCTGCTATAAACATCTTTATTTTATGGCTAAAGTTATTTTGTAGATATCAACAAATTGACTCTAAAGTTTATACAGACAGGCAAAAGACCCAGAATAGACAACACAAATAACAGTTAGAAGACTTCTATCCAACTTCAAGACTTAATGTAAAGCTACGGTAATCAAGACATTATGGTATTGGTGTAAGAATAGACACCTCCCATTTTCAATATACTTTATTTTTTAAAAGTAGTTTTAAAGCCAGGCATGGTGGTGCACTCCTGTAGTCCCAGCTACAGGGTGCAGTGGCTCACGCCTGTAATCCCAGCACTTTGGGAGGCTGAGGCAGGAGGATCACCTGAGGTCAGGAGTTTGAGATCAGCCTGGCCAACATGGTGAAACCACGTCTCTACTAAAAATACAAAAATTAGCCAGGCGTGGTGGTGGGCACCTGAAATCTCAGCTACTCAGGAGGCTGAGGTAGGACAATTGCTTGAATCCAGAAGGCAGAGGTTGCAGTGAGCCGAGATGGTACCATTGCTCTAGCCTGGGCGACAAGAGCGAAACTAGGTCTCAAAAAAAAAAAAAAAAAGTTTTAGGTAGCACATAGCCACCAACCTAAAGACTATTTCCCAGCCTCCCAGCTGTGCCCGTGGGACTCAGTGCTGGCCAGTTGGGTGTGAGCAGGAGTGACTAGTGCTCCTTGCCAAACTGCCGCTAAAATAAAGGAGGGCCCCCATTCCCCTTCCTTTGGGCTGGAATGTGACCTGATGATGATTTATCTCCAACACTCAGACAAAGGCAACACTAAAAATGACAGAAGAAGACAAAACGAACCCAGATCTAATATGTCTCAGAGGAGTAATGATGAAAGAGAAATTTAAGAGTTTACTTTGAATTCTGAACGCAAATCCCCTCCACGGCCTTCAATAGCTTTTGAATCAAACCCACCAATTATAGAAGACAAGCCACAGCATCACCTAAAAGACCTAGGTTTAGGGTAGAAAACTCAATGGACTCAGGTCACTGATTCAAACTATCCAAGACATGGGGAAGCAAATCAAGGCCCACATCATCTTGACACTATTGGATCATCTTCTTGAATCTTCCACCTCTGCTCCTTTTTTTGACAGGAGTTTCCTTGTTTGATAGGAGGTCTGAAAAGCTTGGGGCCTTACCTCTGGAGACTTTGTAAACTTCATAGAAGGAATAGAAGTGGAAGCCTAGTGAGGCAAGTAGGTAAAGTGCCAGTTCCCATCGGGGCAGCATGGCTCCTTGGCACGAAGGTTCCCGATGCCTACGCTGAGAGTTTCTGAGAAACAGAGACAAAACTTTAAGCCATGAACATGACACTAGAGAACAGCATCTAAACATCAATTCAGTTAGTTCACACTCCCGGAGACCCATCACTATTCAAGGTGATACAGACATAACCCCAATCAAGCTTCCTCCTCCCTGTGAACTTACTCCATCCTGCATCCAACACACACACACACACACACACACACGCACACATACACCACACATGTGCATCCTGCCTGTCAAAGGGGTCAGGTCTTTTCCTAGGAGTTCCCACAGTCTCCCATCAGAGTATACATCAGACAGTTCTCTACCCATTGCATAATATGCCTGTCTCTTCTGTGGAGTGGACCCTCAGATAGCAGGGACCATGATCTCTGACTCACCAGCCCCTAGCACAGTGCCTGGGATGTAGCAAGAAGGGACTACCAGGTGCTCTGTGAATAATAAATGGCTTCAAAAAGTCTGAAAAGCACAAACAGTATACAAACCTCTAAATCAACAGGTTCACCATCCTTGTTGTCCCTTTCAAGTATCATACTATAGGCCAGGCATGGTGGCTCATGCCTGTAATCCTAACACTTTGGGAGGCCAAGATGGGAGGATCACTTGAGGCCAGGAGTTCGAGACCAGCCTGGGCAACATAGCCAGATCCCCTCTCTAAAAGCAATAATAAAATAAAAACTTAAAATCAGCTGTCTGCCATGCATCTATGCACTTTATTTATGTATTTTTGGAGACAGGGTCTATGTTTCCCAGGCTGATCTTGATTTCCTGGCCTCAAGTGATCCTCCCACCTCAGCCTCCTGAGTAGCTGGGTTTATAGGCACAAGCCACTGTGCCAGGCCTCATCTGTACATTTCTTAAAGGGCAGTTAATGACATAATCACAGACATCTGTGACAGACACTGCTTGTTACCCACCGCCCCTCACTACCCCTTTTCAGAATTCAGTCTCTCTTCTTACACATCAATTAAAATTTCCTCTGGACACCAACACTACACTGTAGCTAAGTGTGGACACCTGAATAGCTCCATTCAAAAGGGTGTGAGTGAAGGGACATGGCTGTGGCCATCTCTTTCTTTCCCTCCCTTTCCTGTTGAACAGAATTGGAACAGCCTCCGTGGATGAAGAGGTGAAAGCCACATGGACAAGACAGAGGCCTCTCAGTCCCCAAATCCAGGTACCACCCCCAAGCCCCAAAGTGCCCCAGACTACTTAGATCTAGACTGTTACAGGAAAGAGAAATGCATTTCTAGGTTGTTTAAGCCTCTCCTATTCTAGATCTCTCCATCATGGCAGCCATGACTATACTCTAAGTAATAGAGAAGGTATAGGAAAGTTAGGTCCTAAAATTCAGCAAATTAAATGATTCCAAATGTTCCAAGTAACAAAGAGTTCACTAAATTTAAACGCATTTATGGCCTTTACTGCTTTATTTAAACCTCTCAAGTATGTCTCATTGTGGATGCCAAAATAAGAGCAAAATTTTAAGCAGCACCTCCCACCAACCCCACCAAGTACTTCTAACATGTGACAGTCATGCCAAACCCCAGAATTCACACATTATCTCATTTTGTTTTCACAACAGCCTGGTGAAGTAGGTGGAAGTGGAACAGGGGAGGTAGGCATTTTATAGATGACAAATGTGATGAGGTCACAGAGCCAGAAATAACTGAGCCAGAGCAAAAAAGCAAATACTGCATGATCTCACTTATATGTGAAACCTAAAAAAAGTCAAACTCACAGAAGTGGTTGCCAGGGGCTGGGGCGGGGGAAGTGGGGAAGATGTTGGTTAAAAGATGTTGGACAGGATGAATAAATTCTGAGGATCTATTATACAGCATGGTGATTATAGTTAACAATAATGTATTATATTCTTGAAAAGTGCTAAGAGTAGATCTTAAATGTTCTCACCATAAAATGATAAGCAGGTAAGGTGATGGGTATGTTAATTACCTTGATTTAATCATCTCACAATGTATAGCTAGACATCACATTGTACACCATAAATATGTACAATTTTTGTCTAAATATGTGAGTAAACAAATAAGTAAATAACTGAGCCAAGGCTCAAAGCCAAGTCTTTGGACCCAGGCCCCTGCCCCTCCACTCTGCCATGGCCAATCCCATTAATGCCAGTGTACAGTTACTCAGACTTAGAGCCTGGCTTAGAATCTGCCGCACACACAAACTCCTTTCTTCAGACCACTGGGAGACAGAGCAGGAAGGGAAATAAACTTCAGCCTTGATAAACCACGATTTCAGAAATAAGCAGTCTTGCACCCAGAGTGCCCCATTTCGTTACCTAAAAGTCACCCAGAAAGTTTGGTCTGGACTTTTCCTGCAACCTAAGAGATCCAGAAGCAATCATTCATGCTTTAAAACACAAGCCTAAGCCCTAGTATTTCAACAACACTTTCTCAAGTTCCTTACTATTTTTCAGAACTGCTTCTAGCTTTATCCATTTCTATTCACAATTTATTTTTAAATACTTTCATCTTTAGAATAACAAGACTCCTTTCTGGAACTTTTCAGGAATTTGGTAGTCTTCCCTTTAGTGGGAAGGTAATTTTAACTTCTTGGCTTATAATTTAATGTCTCGCCTGTCAAAAGATGTTGGTATTACATCGGATGACCTCTTTGCCTCATGAAGAATCTGATTAGCAAAAAGCTGATCTCCTAATTGGGCGACTGAAATTTGAACACAAATGATCTTGTAGACTGAATGAAAGTTTTAGAAGGCCTGCCATTAGATGCTTTTCAGGGACATTCTATCTGAGACAATCCTCCTGCATTAAGGATTTAATCCTCAGGGAACTAGAAAATTCGGTTTAATAATTTTTCATTTTGGTGCTGCTTTTTTTTTTTTTTTCTTCCTGGAGACAGGGTCTTGCTCTGTTGCCCAAGCAGGAGTGCAGTGGCATGATCTCAGCTCGCTGCAGCCTCAACTTCCCAGGCTCAAGCAATTCTCCTGCCTCAGCCTCCTGAGTAGCTGGGATTACAGGCATGCACCACAATGCCAGGCTAGTTTTTTATTGTTGTTGTTGCCCAGGTTGGTCTCAAACTCCTAAGCTCAGGAGATCCGCCCACCGTGGCCTCCCAAAGTGCTAGGATTACAGGCGTGAGCCACTGCACCCAGCTTAGTGCTGCTCTTAGCTGGATTGTACAGTGAGTCCTTACTGAACATCACCAGTAGGGTCTTGGAAATTGTAACTTTAAACAAAACAATGTATAATGCTACTAATTTTACAATAGGCTAATTGATATAAGCAAAAAGTAAGTTCCTACTGCATATTTCTGGTCACAAAAACATCATACATCTAAATAAAGACCAAAACACTTCTAATAGTAAACACTGAAATAAACAAGAGCTATACACATACACTTAAAGATTAATAAGCACAGGTAAGATCATTATTTACCCAAGTTTGGTGAATCAGCAAGTGATGGCAGTTGTGATGGTGGTCGGTTAAACCAAGGAATAAAATGTTTGCAAAGCAAAAATTATAAGGAGCACCTCCTGCCACCATGCAGTTCAAAACATTTACAATTAGGGTGGGCTCACTGAGCGCTTTCATACTACATTTTTTTTGTCATGCATTTGTATGATTATCATAGACTTTACAAATTTTTATTAATTTGTATTCATTCATTCATTTTCCACCCCACTTGTTCCAATTTAGGGTCTCTGGTAGCTGAGCCCATTCCAGCAGCTCAGGATGCAAAGCAGGAACCAGCCCTGGACAGGATGCCATCCCAGCGCAGAACCCACTCATACTCACTCCCCCACACTCGTTACCAAACACAGGTTCAGCTGCTCACCACTTGCAAAACAAATTAGCAAGATAGAGGTATGGCAGAAAGAAAGTGACTTTATTACAGACCAAAGCTAGCCATGGGGAAGACGGTCTAGACTCTTGCCTTAATGGAACCACTTCAAATTTCCAAGCAAAGTGCAAAGGTTTAAGAAGGGGAAGCAAGTTGCGGCATGGGGTGAGGCAGTGCAGGCCGGCATGACTTGTTCCGATGCCGGCATGACTTGTTCCGATGACTCGTCTTGAATTGTTGCTCCATCTTGTGAACGGGCTGGCAACATCTGGGGCTCAGCTGGGTTGTAAATTAACTGTACCCTCAAAGCCATCTCCTGGTAGGGGAGATTTTCACAGGTGCCTGTACTATTTCAAGGTCTAGTCTCTGGAACCTCGACTTCAGGCTGAAGGAGCCTAAAGACCCTACTGAAAGCAGATAACAGTGGCCCCAAAGGCTCCCCAAAACGGGAGGCAATTGCAGGGATTTCTAGGAATGTCTGGCTTTTGTTGAATTTGAATTCCAAATTTGGGGTTGATGGCTAAGCCACTTTATGAGGCCTTTAAAAGGGACTAGATTCAGAGCCCCCTGCCTTGGACAGATGAGCATCAACAGGCATTTGATGCCATCACAGAAAAACTTAATAGGACACTCAGTTACATTCACACACTGGGACCATTTAGACACACCAATTCACCTAATGGGCACAGCTGTGGGATGTGGGAGGAAACCAAGTACCCAGAGAAAACCCCTGCAGACATAGCGAGAATGTGCAAACTCCACAGACAGTGGCCCCAGCAGAAACTCCATTTTCTTCTACTCAGTGGTATAAGGAAACAATAACATTGTTTCAATGAAACAATAACATAGTTTCAACAATGCTCTATGTTTTGTAGACAAATACACAGAGATACATAGTAACTAGCGGCAAAACACCAGGTAACTAAGCAGGGAAACTAGCTGTCCCCTCACCCCCAAAATTTAGGAATTGAACCAAATAGTCTCCACTTGACAGCACAGTGATACATTCTGGCACCAAACCCACCTGTGGGGTTCAGGGAGGAGGGGTGGGCTGGTGCAGGGAGAGTCCCAGGCTGTGTCATTTATTGGTTAAGGAAACGGGTAGATAACGGCCTCCCAGATGTTTTCTTATAGGGTTGTTGAAGGGGTTAAATGTAAAATGCTTAGCCCAGGGCCTGGCAGTGAATAAGCACTCAACAAACATTAGTAGTTACTAGTTAGTGAATTTCACTCATCAGGAGCCTACCTAAGCCCTGACCCTGATTTTCTCCCTGAATCAAAGAAATCTGGCTGAACTTCCTGGGGTATGCCCATCCTACGTGCATCTGGACCTCTTTCAGGAAGTTGGCATCCCCAGGGATTTCGTTAATGTCTCATTCCTCTTCTGACGCCCAATCCAAAGCCACCCTGGACAGCAAGCAAACTATCCCCGGGGACCACCCGCAGGCTTTCAGCCCGGTGCCTCTTCCTCACCACCTACGTCTCTGCTACTCCCAAGGGAATGACAGGCAGTACTTTCCACTTTCATTTTCACCTCTCCATTACACGAATGCCACCTCGAAACACCACCACCACACAGACACTCACCCATCCTCCTTAACAGAGCTTTCTTCCTCACACACTCTCTTTTCAACTCTTGCCTGTAGCTGACTGCAATGGTTACTATTTGAGACTGTCACTACGACAGTCACTACTGTTACTACTTGAGACAGTCATTAGGAGACTGAAGGAAGGAGGACGAAGGCAGAAATGAAAACTTAAAAGTAACTATTTTAAAGGAAGGGGCCAGGGGAAGAAGAGAGCTCCCTGCTTCTAGGGAGCAAAGGCAGCAACCTCGAGCTTCTACAGCCCTTTGTTTTTATTGGGCAGAAAGAGCAGGGAGGAGGAGGTAATGACTGGTCAGCTGCTTGATTGATCACAGGTTCACGTTATTGCTAACAGGCTTCAGATTTGCCTAATCACAAGAAACACTGTGCCTGGGTGGTGACTGCCCCCCAGCATTCTTTCTGGGAGGCAGACACAGTTTGTCAGTTTGCCAACAACCTGCTTTCATGAGAAACAGTTTGCTGTTTACTCATATAGTCTCCAGTGGTATACTGAGTTGATCACGACCCTCATTCTTTCGGCCTTCAACACTCGCCCACTTATCTTAGGAAAATTATTTCCCTACTTTGTTTTCCCTGTTTATTTCAGCTGTGCAGCCAGAAAGTAAATCAGAGTAGATATGTCTTAAGGGATTTATGACACAATGTAAAAGAAAAGGAAAACTATATATTTGGGAATATAACTGGAACCTTTTTAAAATGTCCAGGCCCTTAGAGGTTCCCAAAAACTCTCTCACAAAATTACCAAGTTTCCATTTCTCATACTCTAAACAAGCATGTCCCTCTTTAGGCAGAGCAATCAGGCTGAAATCAAGGAGGTTCTTACTCAAATGTGTAAGTGATGTTTCTTTTCTGTTTTCATGCAGTCAGTCCTGCACCAACATTATCAGCTAAGTGGGTAGCTGTGAGATAGCCTAGAAAAGTCATCACCACTTACAGCATCATTTCTATAGAAAACGGCCAATCTATAGGGACACAGCCTGTGTTTAAGTAGCAGTCTACCTGATTAATCTACACAAATGAGATTGCACTATTGATATGTAATAGTGAAGGAGGGTTGTAGGGATGTGTGATGGTGAGATGTGTCTAAGAACACTTCCCCAGTGTGGGAATACTGGTCGGAACTGTAAAGAAGATAAAGTGTGGATGGTTCAGGGAAGGGAGAACAGGAGCCAAGTGGTAAGGAGTCTTAAAACATACGATTTCATGTTTAAATTTTATTTCCTGCAGAAACCTCAGGCTTGCAAGCCAGTACATAAAATTATTTGAATGAAGCTCTACAAAGCAGCCCCTTGATGCTGTGGTAGACCCAAGAGGCAGGGAGGTTGATGATTTAGGCCCTTAGTGAAAGTGGAGAGAGTGCTGGAACCAAGCCACACAGATGGGGAAAAATTGAGTTGTCCTTGGCATCAAAATAGTCCAGAAGCTGGTAGGGGGAAAAAAGAGGAAGATGAAGAAGATAAAACAGCAACTCCAAAGCTGTAAGACAACAGGATCTTGAAGCTAAATGTTGTTGAAAAGAGTGAGAATTTTGAGGCAAGTGAGGACAAAGCGGTAGAACGTGCATTTAATACTAGATGTTAAAGGAAATCATAGCAAAGTTTTCCCTGGAATCAGAGGGAAGGAATTCAGACTGGAGGAATAGGGAGCTTTCTCCACCTCCAAATTGGGTACAAACACCCCAAGGTTGAATATTTCAAAAAATATATTTATCTGGGAATTATAGAACTCAAGAGGGCCACAGAATAAAATCTTAGCTGTAAAATGGCAAGAATCTCTCAGCTCACAGAACTTTTTCTATACTGGAGCCACTTGCATTTGCATTTACTTTGGAATTTAACACTCCACCTGCTTTCAAAGATGCCATCTACTCGGATCCTCTCAGGAGGGCTAAGTTTTTAGGTCCCTTTCAGGAATCAGAATCCTGCTCAGGAAGAAGCAGCGATCTACCCACGGACAGAGAAGCCAGCAATGGAGCAAAAATTAGAACCAAAATTCCCAACCCCCACTGTCATACAGGCAGAAATCCTGTTCCTTGATCTTGGAAGAAAAGTACAGCACACCTTGCCAAAGCCTGAAACATACATAAACATAACGGCTGCAAGATGCTTTTCCCCCAGCAACTTCCAATATCATTTCAAAAATACTTTAGCTTTACTTCTGATGCAGGCAACTAATGGATTCCAACACTTCCATTTTAAATTTTTTCTGCTTTTAAATCTTGATATCAAGCACTAAATGGGCTATAACCCAATACTCACATGCACCAGAGAACTTTAACAAGACAGCTCTCATCATTAAGCTAACAATCCCTCCATACCAGCATCACCATCGTCACTTCTACTGACTCACTGCTTAATGTCCTAAATGAAGATTTCCCTCTACTGAGTTTTCTTATGCTTTAGTAATAGCTGTACTATAACAAGTACTATTTACAGATTTCCTATGCTGAAAAGGCACTTTACAAGTATTATCTCACTTAATCTTCATAACAAACCTTTGAGGTTGGTGCTTCTGATAACCTCACTTAACACAAGAGGAAACCAAGGCCCAGAAAGGATAAGTAAACCCGCCCCAAATCACACAGCTGGTAAGCAGCAAAGCTTAGATTCATACCCAGTAAGTCTAACTCCAGAGCCTTCCCTCAGCCACCTCACTATTCTTACAGAGTGTACTGGACTCATTTTTTCCAAAATCTATAATGAAATCAATCCATTAGGAAAGCTAGAATATAAGTGGTCTAAATGTAATAGAATTTTTAAACGTTATGCATAACGTTAGACACTCTCTGATAAAAAAATTTAAATCAATAAAATGTAATCAAAATACACATGAAATATCTAACTCACATACATTCCTTAAAAGATTTACTGAAAAAGGCAAACTAAACCTAACCGATTTACCTTGGAAATAAGAGGGGAAAGTCAGCAGTTATGCAGAGATAAGAGTAAAATTGAAATAGCTCTAAATTCAGGAACAAATGAGCACTCTGGAAACCACAAGCAATAAAAGTGAAAGAAGCACATGCCCACTGAAATGACAACGGCTTTAAAGAAAATGAAATAGTAGTGCAATATTCTAGCATATTCGGAAAAAGTGGTATGAGACTTTTGCCTTTTCCAGGGTCCAATTTTCATGAAACTGAATCCCATTTTGTAGACTCTAAATTACATGATTTTCTCCAAGAAAACCACCAAGTCCAGATTCCCATATCACAATTCTCTCCAAACCCCACTTGAGTCTTTTTTTTTTTTTTTTTTTTTTTTTTCTGAGACAGAGTCTTGCTCTATCCCCCAGGCCGGAGTGTGCTGCCCCACTAATTTTTGTGTTTTTAGTAGAGACTGGGTTTTGCCATGTTGCCCAGGCTGGTCTTGAACTCCTGGCCTCGAGTGATCCTCCCGCCGCAGCCTCCCAAACTGCTGGAATTACAGGTGTGGGCCACTGTGCCCAGTCCCCATTTAAGAGTCTTACAAAGACTTATTCTTCAACCCACATAATACTAAGAGGAAACACTTCTCCAAACCCAGAAAGGTTTCACCAACACAGAAGAATGACTAGATAGACTGGAAGAGGTGCACTGGAGTGGGGAAAAAAGTCTAATTACAGAATAGTTTAAAATATATACCCACTACTTCCACATCCGCACCAACATATTATGTATTAGTTATGTATTGCTGCATAAGAAACCATCACAACATGTGATGCCTTAGAACAATGAACATTTATTCTTTTTAAGGATTTTGTGGGATGGCAGTCTGGACAGTTCTGTTCATGTCCCTCCTGAGGTCACTCATGTGACTTCTGTCACCACACAACTCCACTGGGGCTGGAGGGGGCCATGATGACCTCATGCACATGTCTGGCATTTGGCGCCAGCTCACACAAGTCACCTCCCTTCTCCCCCAGGCCAGGGCTCCTCCTCTGGTAGGCTAGACTTGGCTTTTTCACAGCAGTGGGGTTTCAGGGTTCCAAAAGAACAGAGGCAAGAGGTGCAACATCCCTTAAGGACCAGGCTCCAGAGTTCACAGAACACATTATTGGTCAAAGCAAGTCCAAAGACCAGCCCGGATTCAAGGAGGAGAAAACAGACCATACTTCTTTATGGGAGGAGCAGCAAGGGTACCTTAGAAAGGGGTGGGCACACATCTAGCACACCAGGTATATTATAAATAGTTACTAATCAATAAAATCTGGAAAATTAGTTGAAAAGCTACCTTTCACAATGGATCTTTATTACATAAAATGTCACAAAGGTTGTTCCCTACCTTCTTATATATGTAATGGAAAAAAAATATGTTCCCAAATCAGAATTTCAAAATCAGTGGAGTCTCTATTGCCTTTTGGTCTCATCTCCAGCCAGTTTGGGAATTCCTTTTATAACAGCCTACTTGACCATTTCCAGTAACATTACAAGGCAGAGAAACTCTGTTCCTAAGCAGTTCTTGCTTTTGTTGTTGTTTTTGTTTTGAGACAGGGTCCCACTCTGTCACCCAGGCTGGAATGCAGTGGCGTGATCATAGCTCATTGCAGCTCCAAACAGCTCTAACTCCTGGGCTCAAGTGATCCTCCTGCCTCAGCCTCCCAGGTGCACACCACTGTGCCTGGCTAGCAGTTCTGATTGTTGTGTTTTTCCTTGAAATCTACCCCGTATTTCTAAAAAATACAGATTTCTAAAAAAATACAGGGGTGGATTTCTTCTGCCACCAGTCCTCTTCTACCTTCTGGAACTAAAGGCATGGAGACAGCATAGTGTGATATGGTTTCAGGGGTGGCTCTGGAGTCAGAATGCCAAAGATTGAATTCCAGCTTTGCTGCTTCATGGTTGTGTGACCTAGGACAAGGTGCACAACCTCTCTGAGCCTCAATTTCCTTATCTGTAAAACACAGTAATAGCGAACCTCAGAAGATTGATATGAGGATTAAGTGAATTTATAAAATGATAAAACAGTGCCTTAGGCATAGTAAACTCTGAAATGCTTATTTTTGTTGTTTTTAATGCTATTACTATTATTGAGTATGCTTAAAAAGGCTTTTTTATTCTTTCCAATAATACTCGTTCAAATGTTTAAAGATAATTAATGCCATCTACTCCATCCAAACCCTCTTCCAGACCAACATCTATGATTCCTTCAACCATTACTTCAATGACTTGGTTCCAGGCTCCTTTTTGAAACAAGGTCTCACTCTCTGTTGTTCAGGCTGGAATGCAGTGGCACAATCTTGGCTTACTGCAGCCTCAACTTCCCAGGCTCAAGCAATCCTTCCATCTCAGCCTCCCGAGTAGCTGGGACTATAGACAAGAGCCACTACACCCATTTTTTTTTTTAAATGGGGGCGGGTCTCACTATGTTGCCCAGGCTGGTCTTGAACTCCTGGACTCAAGTGATCTTCCCACCTACACCTCCCAAAGTGCTGGGATTACAAACATGAGCCACCATGCCTGTCCCCAGATCCTCTGCCTGTCAGTTGACTCTGTATAGTACATTTACCTAAAACTGAACCCAAAGCTCCAATTGTGTCAGTGAGAGGAGGACAAGACCATCACTTTTCTTTCAGAAACTGCACTCAAATAATATCTTAGACCCATGTCTTCATTCAACAAATACGAATGAACTTCTACTGACAACCAGGAAGTGTGCTCTTTGTGAAGACAAAATAGATCCCCTCTGTGGGGTCCACCAAAGATGGGTCCCCTAGAAGTGTCCATGTCCTCAACCCTGGAACCGTGACTATGTTGCCTTACACAGCAAAAGGGATTTTGCCAATATGATTAAGGATCTTCTGATTGAGAGATTAGCCTGGATTATCTGGGTGGGCCCAAAGTAATCACAAGGTTCCTTACAGGAGGGAAGCTGAAGGGTCAGAGACAGAGAGGAAATGTGAGGTGATGATGGAGGCAGAGGTTAGAGTGGTGTGCTTGGAAGATGGAGGAGGGGCTCCTGGATGAAGGAATCTAAGAGTCATCTAGAGGCTGGAAAAGGCAACGACAACAAAAAGATTGTTCCCTAGAACCTTCAGAACAAATGAACCCTGCTGACCCATTTTGGACTTCTGACATCCAGAACCATAAGGTAATAAATGTGTGTTTTTTGAAGCCACTGAATTTGTGTTAATTTAGTTCAGGTTTAATAGGAAACTCATATGCCATCCCTGCCCTCAGTTAGTTCATGGCCTTATGGGAGGAAAGTACCTAACTGAAAGGATTTATAGAAAACAGATTGTTTTTTAATCCAATGGTCATAAACTTTTAAAACTTAAATTGGAAGAAAAGTTTTTTAATCCAGTGGTCATAAACTTTCAAAACTTAAATTGGAAGAAAATTAAATCTGAAAACAAAAATTTCTACTTAATACTCCCTTAGCTTTTCTAATTTCCCCCCACACTGATATCAATCTTATAATCAAACATAACTCTAAGTCTTTTTATATGAAATTCCCTCAAGCCAGATCTCTGCCATTAAAGATTGGCAAAAGGGAGTCAATTATATAAGTCCCTAATTCAAAAAAAAGCTACTGATGTGATATTGCATTCTTTCCCCTGAAAATTCTCAACCTATTTTAAGCCTTTTTAATCAGCAAGGCTTGTGCCCACCACATCTTACACTCCCCAGCCTGGGAGCATCAGAATGAACCTAACTTTTTACAAGATTTTAAGTAAACTTTATTACAATACACTTAAATGAAGAAAAAACCTTAAGGCTTCCTTTTTCTTATTTTTTATTTTTTTCTTAAACAGGGTCTCACTCTGTCACCCAGACTACAGTGCATGGCATGATCATAGCTCATTGCAGCCTCAAATTCCTGGGCTCAAGAGATCCTCCTGCCTTAGCTTCAGGAGTAGCTGGGATTGCAGGCTCGCATCACCACCCCCTGCTAATTTTTTAGTCTTGTTTAGAGACAGGATCTTGCTATGTTGGCCAGGCTGATCTCAAACTCCTGGCCTCAAGTGATCCTCCCTCCTCAGCCTCCCAAAGTGCTGGGATTACAGGAATGAGCCATCATGCCCAGCCCTTAGGGCTTTCAAGAAGTGGAAAGCCTTATGTAATTACCAAGTAATTGTCACTGAGATAAAAACTGCACGCCAGGCCAGAGGCAGTGGCTCACATCTGTAATTCTAGCACTTTGAGAGGAGGAGATGGGTAGACTACTTGAGCCTAGGGGTTCAAGACCAGCCTGGGCAACATGGTAAGACCCTGTCTCTAAAAAAAAAAAAAAAAAAAAAAATTAGCCAGGCACAGTGGTGCATGCCTGTAGTCCCAGCTACTCAGGTGGGCTGCAGTGACAGGATCGCTTGAGCCCAGGTCAGGGAGGTTGCAGTGAGCTGAGATCACACCACTGCACTCCCGCCTGGGTGACAGAGCGAGATCCTGTCTCCAAAAAACAAAAGAATGCCTCAGAAGCCCCTTCTGCCCTTTCCTAGTCACTAACTCCATCAAAGATGACCACTAGCCTAACTTCTACCACCATGGTTTATTTAGTTGTCTGGTTTTGAACTTTACATCAATGGAATCACATTGCATTTACTCTTTTACATCTATCTTGGTTTTGCTCAGCTTTGTGTCACAAGATTCATCCATGTTATGTGAGGCAATAATTTGTTCATTCTTATCACTGTACCAATTAGTGCTTTTTGTGGCCTATTCAAGAAACCTTGTCCCTAGGTCATAAAGATATTTTACTTTGCTTTCTTCCAGGTGCTTTGTTTTAGCGTTCACATTTAGGTGTATGTTGTTATCTTGATTAATTTTTGTATATGAGATGAGGTACATGATCTAGATTCATTTTGTCTATGTGGATAGTCAATCGACCCAGTGTCATTTACTGAGAAGACCATCTTCTCTCCACTGCCCTGCAGTGTTGCCTCTGTCATAAATCAAAAGACCACAGATGTATAAGCCTGTTTATGGATTCTTTACTCAGTTCCATAATCTGTGTAGCTTTATGCAATACCACACTGACATGACTACATATTGATCTAGTAGCTTAGGTCCTCCAGTTTTGCTCTTAAGACTGTCTAGAATTTCCAAATAAATTTCCAATCTGCTTATCACCTATTTTTGAAGAAAAAATTTGCCGGGATTTTGATTGGGATTGGCCCGAATCTATAGATTTGCAGAGCAATACCTTACCCTCTGTTATTTTAAATCTAATTTCTCTCAATGCTCCAGCTTGCAAAGAGGCTTTTTTTTTTTTCATCATGAATGGGTGCTGAGTTGTATCAAATACTTTTTCTCCTTTACTTCATATATGGAGTTAAATTGCATTTGTTGACTTTCGTAGTGTTAGCCAAAGTTTACATTCCTGAAATAAATCCAACTTGGTCATGATTTATTATCCTTTTTATAGATTGCTAGATTTGACTTACCATATTTAAGACTTATGTGTCTGTCTTTATGAGCATTTGGCCTATAATTTTCTTGTAATATCCTTATCAATTTTTAGTAACAAGATTGTGCTGGCCTCATAAATGCAACCGGAAAGTGGTTCCTCTTTAATTTTCTTAAATGTTTGGAAGTTTCACTAGTAAAGCCATCTGGGCCTGAAAATTTTGCTATGGAAAGGTTTTTAACTACAAATTCAATGTTTTTGGTAGATATAGGACTACTCATTTTTTCTAGTTTTTGTGTCTTTGGTAATATATTTTATTGGAAAAACCTGTCAATTTCATCTGAATTTTCAAATGTATTACCATGAAATCGTTCATAACATCTTAAGAGCTTCTGTCTGTGGGATATGTGATAGTAGTTCATTTTTCTTCCCTGACACTAATAACATCATCTACCACTAAGGTTCATTTCTATTCGCAAAAAAAAAAATAAAAATAAAAATAAAAAAATAAAAAGGTAGGGTGTATACACTATATGACATACATCCACTATTTCAGGAATATTCTCCAACCATATTACCCACAGAAGGAGCAGGGCAGGTAGATTATATAAACAATCCAGCAATCCCCTCTCAAAAGCTTTCATCAAACAGAAACAACTGTGAACCCGGGCTAAAAAGGGGAAAACTAACTGAAGGAGAAGGAAACTGCTATCAGTAATGCACTAACAGGCTGGGTGTGGTGGCTCATGCCTGTAATCCCACCATTTTGGGAGGCTGAGGTGGGCAGACGACTTGAGCCCAGGAGTTTGAGACCAGCCTGGGCGACATGGCGAAATCCCTTCTCTGCTAAAAATACAAAAATTAGCCAGGAATGGTGTTGCATGCCAGTAGCCCCAGCTGCTCAGCAGGCTGAGGTGGGAGCCTGGGAAGTTGAGGCTGCAGTGAGCTGTGATCCAGCCTGGGAAACACAGGAAGACCCTTTCTCAAAAAAAAAAAAAAAAAAAATGACACGCTAAAGTGGCCAGCAAGTACTTAGATGAAAAACAACCACTAAGTAGGGTTGTATGTAACCCAGGATCCCCAGCCCTCCACTCCCAAGGTGTCCATAGAGAGAATTCAGGGGGACATGAGCTCAAATATCTTTATTTTCATGAATTTCTGGCTGAAAATTAGCATTTCATTGGATTATAGATGTGGACAACGACTCACAGTAGTAAGAGCAGTTCCAGCCAGATGTAATGGCTCACACCTGTAATTCCAGCACTTTGGGAGGCCAAGGTGGGCAGATCACTTCAAGCCAGGAGTTCAAGACCAGCCTGGCCAACATGGCAAAACCCTGTCTCTACTAAAACTACAAAATTAGCCAGGCACGGTGGTGAACATCTGTAATCCCAGCTACTGGGGTGGGTGAGGCATGAGAATTGCTTGAACTCGGGAGGCGAAGGTTGCAGTGAGCCGAGATCATGCCACTGCACTCCATCCTGTGTGACATAGTGAGACGCTGTCTCAGAAAAAAAAAAAAATCATAGTAGTAAAAGCAGCTCTGACGAATGTCACCAGTAAAAGTCAGATACTTTCATACTACTGTGTAGCCTTTGAAAATACTACAAAATACCATTTACATGGGCATCACTACTTTGAAATTACAGGAGTTACTTGCTACTGCACTGAATTTTGTTACTTACTGCATTGATAAAGAAGTACATATACTCATACATTTGGAGCTTTTTTAGTTTTTTCATTTTATTATTATTTTTTAAGAGACAGGGTCTCACTCTGTCATGCAGGCTAGAGTGCAGTGGCCTGATCATAGCTCACTGCAGCCTTGACCTCCTGGGCTCAAGTGATCCTTCCTCCTCAGCCTCCCAAGTAGTTGGGACTACAAGTGATGCTAGCACTGGGGAGTGGCTGCAAATACAAATTAGCATTAAGAGGGAGGTTTGACTACACAGAGACCATAATAAATCAATTGCTTGCAGACTCATATCAAAATCCTATCAGTGAGTGTCAAGTAACAAGTAGCTTAATGCTGCCTGGTGGCAGGCTTTATAGTGGCAAGTGAGTTGATGTACTTCCATCGTACAGCTGCATCTGTGGGCAGGCTTTCAGTCAGAATCCGACACTTATTTTAGTCCACTCATGGCCCGCCCATTATTTACCACTTCCAGGTGTGCCTGTTTCCTGCACTGCACATTTGTCTCAGTCACAGTTTTGGTAAGCCCACAAGCTAACCCTAGCCGAAATGAGTAAAAAACAAACATCACTGGTAAGCTTCTTTGAAAAGGGGGAAGACCCAATGATGAGACAGAAGACTGTAAGATTGCCAACAAAAAGCAAGCTGCATTTAAAAGAAAATACCAGGAGTCATACTCAAATTACAGGTTCATTGCAACAGGTGACTCACATTCTCCAAGCCCACTTTGTGTAATATGTGGCCACTGGCTATCCAATGAAGCCATGAAACCTTCAAAACTGCTTCACCACATGGAGACCAAGCACCCTGCATTAAAAGACAAGGCTTCGGAGTTTTTCAAAAGAAAAAACATAAGCACAAAGAACAGAAGCAATTATTGAAGGCTACCATTTCATCAAATGTGTCTGCAATGAGAGTATCATTCTTAGTGGCTAACCGTATTGCTAAAGCTAAGAAGCCCTTTACTATTGGTGAAGAGTAAACTAGGCGAATTGAAATAGCAGCGGATATTGAGGCACAATTGGTAGAGAGGATTAATGAGTCACTGCGGTACGCAATCTGGGTTGACTAGTCTACCAGTGTTGACAAGGCAACAATGCTTGTTTTTTTGTGATACAGTTTTCAGGAGGATATACATGAAGATGTTAGGTGCACGAGGATATGTCACTTGCACTTTTGTTGCTAACCAACACCACAGCTGCACAACTATTCAAGTCTTTGAATGATTACCTATCAGAAAAACCGAATTGGTCCTTTTGGGTAGTATGTGCTTGGGCAGAGCGACTGCTACGACTGGTTTCACTACTCGGGCCAAAGAGGTCACTTCTGAATGTGAGTCTATGCACTGTGACATCCATAGAGAAGTGTTGGCTAGCCAAAAAATGTCACCTGAACTTAAGAACATTTTGCAGGATGTGATTAAAATTATCAACCACATTAAAGTACATGCCCTTAACTCACATCTGTTCACACAGCTCTGTGAGATGGACATAGAGCACACACATCTTTTATACACAGAAGTGGGATGGCTTTCTAAAGATAGATCACTGGCCGGAGTTTGAGTTATGAGGGCCACTCCAGAGATTTCTTCTAGAAAAGTAGTCACCACTGGCAGCACATTTCATAGAAGGGGTTACAAAACTTGCTTACTTGCTTACCTCCTCAATGAACTCCATCTGTCCCTTCAGGGGAGAACTGTGTTCAAGTCGGCAGATAAGTGGCTGCACTCAAAACCAAACTGGAATTATTGCGGCGACAAGTGAACACTGGGATTTCTGACACGTTTCAAACATTAGCAGAGATTTTGAAAGAGACTAAGCCAGGGCCTTCTCTCTCCCAGCTGGTGCATGATCACCTATCTCAGCTTTCAAAAGAGTTTGAGCATTACTTCCCAACTACAAAAGACACCCGAACTGGGAAGGATCCTAGATCCATTTGTGAATAAGCCAGGTGAATTGACTTTGTCCATGCTAGAAGAGGACCAACTGTTTGAGATAGCAAATGACCGGGCCCTAGAAGTATGTTTAAGACAACTTCAAATATCCATACATTCTGGATTAAAGTCAAGGCAAAGTATCCTGAAATTGCCACAAAAGCACCGAAAAGCCTGCTTCCATTTCCAACATCCTATCTTTGTGAAGCAGGGTCTTCTGCAGTGACAGCAACCAAAATGAGACTATGAAGTAGGCTGGACATAAGCAAACACACTTTGGGTGTCAATGTCTACCAACACACCCCCCCAGATGGGACTGCCTAGTTGCAGAAAAACAAGCTCAGGGGTCCCACTGATTCTACTCTATGGTGAGTTGTATTCATATTACAATGTAATAATAATAGAAATAAAGTCCACAATAAATGTAATGCAGGTGGGGCATGGTGATTCACACCTGTAATCCCAGCACTTTGGGAGGCCAAGGAGAGGATGGCTTGAGCTCAGGAGTTCGAGCTCAGGAATTTGAGACCAGCCTGGTTGACATGGTGAAATCCTGTCTCTACTAAAAATACAAAAATTAGCCAGATGTGGTGTCGCATGCCTGTAAGCTACTCCGGAGGCTGAGGCACGAGAATTGCTTGATCCCCAGAGGTGGAGGTTGCAGTGAGCCAGTATCGTGCCACTGCACTCCAGCCTGGGTGACCCAGCGAGACTCTTGTCTCAAAACAAATAAATAAAATAAATGTAACGTGCTTGAATTATCCCAACACCATCCCCCTTCCCCCAGTCCATGAAAAACTTATTGTCCATGAAACCGGTCCTTGGTGCCAAAAAGGTTGGGGACCACTGCTTTAGGGAACATTCCCCCTGGGCCAGGTCCTAAGCTGGAAGCAGGGGGTGCAGGTAAGGCCCATGCTCGCAAGTTCCTGATGCTACCTACAGAGCTCCCACCAACATCTGGCCACCCACAAAAACGGCTGCTCCCTCCAAAGAATTGACTTTCACCCTAAGTTCATCCATCTAACCTACTTCCAAGGAGGGGGCAAAGTAAACAGTAGATAAAGCACAGGCGTTGATCCAAAAGAGGAGTCCAAAACCCGGCCCTGACATGTACTAGTTTGTGGCTTTGGCTCCCCTCCAAGGCTTTCTCTATCCTACTGTGAAAAGAGATAACAACACTTATCTTTCCCAGTTACTGTAAGGTTTAGAAATAATGTATCTAAAGCACCTAATAAGCACACAGTCTCCTTAAATTAACATTAATTGAATCTCTCAGGTCAGAGCTGTCCTTATCAAACAATCACAATTAGGGACTGACTGGCAACGAGAAAGGAGGGAGAAAAATCACAGGGAAAATGGAACATGAGGAATGGAAGGGGAAAAAAATCATTCCTCAAAGTCTCCTTCAATGAACTACCGCCTCTTCAATGAAGCCTTCCCTCTCCTCTCCTTGCATTCCCATAGCACTTAATCACATTGAAATAGGTCCTTAGCTCTGAGAATGAATGAGATGCCAGGCACGGTGGCTCACGCCTGTAATCCCAGCACTTTGGGAGGTCGAGGTGGGCAGATCACCCGAGGTCAGGAATTCGAGACCAGCCTGGCCAACACGGTGAGACCCTCGTCTCTACTAAAAATACAAAATTAGGTGGGCGTGGTGGCGCATGCCTGTAATCCCAGCTACTCAGGAGGCAAGGCTGGAGAATCGCTTGAAACCGGGATGCTGAGGTTGCAGTGAGCTGAGATTGTGCCATTGCACTCCAGCCTGGGCGACCAGAGCGAAACTCCGCCTCAAAAACACAAACAACAACAAAAACAGAAAGAGAAGCAATGTCTCACTCCCACGTAATGCAAACCTCTGAGGATGCCAAATGCCCTAGCCCTACAACCCTGATCCAAGAGCAATGTACACAGGTAGCAGCACATTTCTTAACACCAATGCTACCCGTAAAGTACCTCTGGTGAGGATTAGCGGGAGGGTTTTTCCGCATAAAGACCTGCCACCTGAAGGTTAGACTCAGAACAGAGGAAGAAAACTGAGTCCTGAAGATAGAACGCAAAGGAAGTCTCTAACTTTAGAGTCCCTGGAGTCACAGCAGGCAGGCAGGCGCACCGCCGATACTGCCAAGAGGACCAGAGTTCGCAACTCCCCGCAGCAGTTCCGGAAGCTGGGGACGAAGCCAAGGAGAGAGGACGTGGGCAGGGCCGTGCGCGGACTTGTCCCGGCGCCTAGATCCCCGCCTTTGCCCGGGCGCACTGCGCGCGCGGCCCCCGCCGCTTTTGTCTTCTTCGCCCGACCGGGAACTTCCTCTGTCCCGCCCTCGGGCGCGCACACGGGAACTTGGGTAGGAAACGGAAAGCGTTTTGTGCATTTTTTTTTTAACAGAGTAAACTGACGCAGAAAATTCAGCATCTAACCTCCCCAGGACCCCCTATGGTCACCAGTTACCAACCTCCGGGCTGTCCCGGGCGGCGGCGACGGCAACGTTCACGCGCGCCGCGAGTTCCCAACACCCCTCTTTCGGCACTTCCGAGTCCCAGCGACATCGGCGGCGGCTGCGGGCTTCCCCGGGACGCCACCCTCTTTCCCCCGGAGCTGCCCTTTGGAGGAGCAGCGCAGCGCGCGTCCTCCGAGCACGCCCCTGCCGCCGTGCCCGCGCGCCCTCCGCGCCCGGACTCGGGAACCCGCGGCGCTCTCCGGGCGATGGCGAGCAGGCCGTGCTGCTGCAGGGGGCGGGCCAGAGCGCGGCCTGCGTTTCTGAACCGCGTTTGCCCCGCCGGCGGCCCGGGGCCCCTAGCCCCGCTCACCCCTCGGCTGTTGGTTCCCACTGACCCTGGCGTGCATATCTCTCCCCCACCCGTGTGTTCATTGCAGGTCTGGGGCTGCCTGCAAGTTAATTGCAGAGTGGAAGTCACCTGAAACTCGAGGTGGGCCGTCATTCCAACACCAGTGGTCCCCACCTACGTTTTGTAGGCGAAAGGAGGTAGTTCGGTGCGGTGGAAAGAGGGTGGGCTTTGCAGCCCTGGCAGCTTCGAGGGCTTACTGTGTGAACTTAGCCCCTGTGAGCCTCCCTGTACACCTCTGTAAAACAGAAATAGACTTCCCTGCTTTTCTTTGTAAATTAGAGTGAAGATCAAATAGAATAAACTTTATGAATTGTAAAGCAACTTACAGAGATCACTACTGCAAAATGGGTACGAAGATTTTGATTGCGTTGTGAAAAGAGTGGAAGATCTGAAGATGCTCCAACGGGGTATAATTGGGACGATGTTGCTGCTCGGAGGCCTCCAAGCCTGAGCCAAGAGACAGGCTTGCCAGAGTTCTCCAGACTTATCTCAGCAGAATCACGTGGCTCTCATTAAAACCTCGGGCTTCTGGATCCCTCCCCAAACCAAAAGCATCAGACTGTCCATGGCAGGGGCGTCTCAGGTGGTTCTATGATAAGGTGAAGGTGGATAACTCTGCCCTAGGCAGCAGGGAAACTCGGAAGCTGTGCTCTCAGAAATTTCATCTAGCAGTCATTGTAATGGTCGAGAGGATTATTTTAATGATTTTAGAATTCTCCAGGAAACCAGAGTATGAACTCTCCAAGAGCTGGAGCTATCTTTTCTTTCTGCTTCCCCCCAACCCACTCACCCCAAAACCTGGTACTGGATGGTGTTCAGTAAGCAGGTGTTAGTAAACTAGCCCCAAATAGGAGTGCCAGATTTAGCAAATAAAAATACAGCATACTCAATTAAAATTGAATTTCAGGCTGGGCGCGGTGGCCCACGCCTGTAATCTCAGCACTTTAGGAGCGGTAGCAGGAGGATCACTTGAGGCCAGGAGTTTGAGACCAGCCTGGCCAACATGGTGAGACCCCGTCTCTACTAAAAATACAAAAATTAGCCGGGTGTGGTGGCCTGCACCTGTAATCCCAGCCACTTGGGAGGCTGAGGCACGAGAATCGCTTGAACCCGGGCGGCAGAGGTTGCAGTGAGCTCAGATCGCACCACTGCACTCCAACCTGGGTGACTGAGCCGGACTCTGTCTCAAAAAAATAAGTAAATAATTTCAGGTGAACAATATGTAACTTTTTAGTATCACTATGACCCATGCAATATTTGGGATATACTTATTTTTTTTAAGTACTTACAGGAAGCTTGTAATCCCAGCACTTTGGGAGGTCGAGGTGAGTAGATAACTTGAATCCAGGAGTTCGAGACCAGCCTGGCCAACATGATGAAACTCCATCTCTACCAAAAAAAAAAAAAAAAAATGGTATATCTGAAATTCAAATTTACATCCTGGGTATCTGAAAATCAAACTTAACTGGGTATTTTATCTGTCAACTCTAGATCCAAGGGTTTGGCAGAGGGAGTGGCAGAATAAGAACTCAACTCAGGTAGTGTCAAACTCAGGGACAGGGATGTGATAACAGCTCCTATATTATTTCTAAAAGATGCTGTTGTTAATATAGGTTCAGTGTGATTTACACTTAACCCCTGTCTACATATGCACTTTAAATTCACCGGCGAACACAAAGGAGATAAAGGCAGATTTAAACACAGGCAATCAGAAACATCAAATAAAAATAGCCAAAATTTATGTGTGTGTGTATATATATATATATATATATATATATATATATGTATGTATTAGAGACAGTCTCACTGTGTCACCCAGGCTAAGCACAGTGGCATGATCTCAGCTCACTGCAGATTCAAGCAATTCTTGTGCCTTAGCCACCTGAGTGGCTGGGATTACAGGCAAGCACCAGCCACCACACCTGGCTATTTAGTAGAGACAGGGTTTTGCCTTGTTGGCCAGGCTGGTCTCGAACTCCTGGCCTCAAGTGATGCACCTGCCTCAGCCTCCCAAAGTGCTGGGATTACAGGTGTGAGCCACCATGCTTGGCCATAATAGCCAAAATTTAAAGATAAGCAATAGACTGGGATATTTGCAAGAAATTTGCAAAGTGTTAATTTTAAAATTATATATAGAGTTAATACAATCAATAAGAAAACATTAGAAATCAATTATAGATGAGCAAGACACATTTATAGACAACCCACTAGAAAAAGGAGGAGGGAAATAAAAGTAGGAAACAAAAATATATTGCAAAAAGCTCAATGAAATGCATAGTAAAACAAGAACATGGTGGCTCACGCCTGTAATCCCAGCACTTTGGGAGGCCAAGGTGGGTGGATCACGAAGTCAGGAGATCAAGACCATCCTGGCTAACGTGGTGAAACCCCGTCTCTACTAAAAATACAAAAACAAAATTAGCCAGGCATCGTGGCGGGTGTCTGTAGTCCCAGCTACTCGGGAGGCTGAGGCAGGAGAATGGCGTGAACCCGGGAGGCAGAGGTTGCAGTGAGCCGAGATCGTGCCACTGCACTCCAGCCTGGGTGACTGAGCAAGACCCCGTCTCAAAAAAAAAAAAAAAAAAAAAAAAAACAAGAACACACAATTTTCACACATTAAGTTGGCAAAAAATTAATAAATAACATTACAGCCTGGCATGGGTGCTATGTGATAGCACTCACACACAATGTTTAGTTGGGTAAGCAATTTGGCAGTATGAAAACTTAAAATTTATCAAAATCTAAGGGAGGTGGGGCAAGATGCCAAATAGAAGCTTCCACCAATTGTCCTCCCTTCAAGAACAACAAAATGAACAACTATCAACAAAAAACACCTTAATAAGAACCAAAGATCAAGTGGGCCATTGCAGTACCAAGTTTTAACTTCATATCACTGAAAGAGGCACTGAAAAGCGTAGAGAAGACAGTCTTGAATTGCAGACGCTACCCCTCCCTCATCCTACAGCAGCAGCTGGGGAAAGATTCTCTCAGATCTTATGCAAGACCACTAAGGTGGTACCTCTGAGTCTGCAAGAGCCGTAGCATTCCTGAGCTTGAGGTGCCCTCTAATGCAGATATGATGGCAGTGACCCAAACCTAAATGACAACACCCAAGTCCCTTAGAATACCTGGAAAGCCTTCCCAAGAAGGATGAATACAAACAAGCCCACCCTGTGAAGACTACAATAAGTACCTAACTCTTCAATGCCCAGACACTGACACACATTCACAAGCATCAAGACCATCCAGGAAAACATGACATCACCAAACAAACTAAATAAGGCATCAATCCCAGAGTGACCTTTCAGACAGAGAATTCAAAATAGCTCTTTTGAAGAAACTCAATGAAATTCAAGAAAACATGAGATGGAATTCAGAATCCTACCAGGTAAATTTAATGAAGCAAATGAAATAATTGAAAAGAATTAAGCCCGAAATTCTGGAGCTGAAAAATACAATTGATATGCTGAAGAATGCATCTGAATCCTTTAATAGCAGAATTGATCAAGTAGAAGAAAGAATTAGTGAGCTTGAAGGCAGGCTATTTGAAAATACACAGTGGGAGGAGACAAAAGAAAAAATAATTTTAAAAAATGAAGTACACCTACAAGATCTAGAAAATAGCCTCAAAAGGCAAATCTGAGAGTTACTGGCCTTAAAGAGGAGGTTGAGAAAGAGATAGGGGTAGAAAGTTTATTCAAAGGGATAATAACAGAGAACTTCCCAAACCTAGAGAAATATCAATATCCAAGTAGAAGAAGGTTATAAAACACCAAGCAGATTTAACGTAAATAAGACTACCTCAAGACATTAAATAATCAAACTCCCAAGGCTCAAGGATAAAGAAAGGTTCCTGGCCGGGCACAGTGGCTCACGCCTGTAATCCCAACACTTTGGGAGGCTGAGGCAGGTGGATCACCTGAGGTCAGGAGTCTGAGACTAGCCTGACCAACATAGTGAAACCCTGTCTCTACTAAAAATACAAAATTAGCCAGGTGTGGTAGTGGGTGCCTGTAATCCCAGCTACTCAGGAGGCTGAGGCAAGAGAATCACTTAAACCTGGTTGGCAGAGGTTGCAGTGAGCTGAGATTGCATCACTCCAGCCTGGGCAACAGAATGAGACTATGTCTCAAAAAAAAATAAAAAAATAAAAAATAAAAAATATAAAAAATGCCATACAATGGAGCACCAATACGTCTGGCAGCAGACTTTTCAGGGGAAACCTTACAGGCCAAGAGAGAGTGGCATGTCATGTTTAAAGTGCTGAAGGAAAAAAAAATTATCTTAGAATAGTCTATTCAGCGAGCCACATCCTTCAAACATAAAAGAAATAAAGACTTTTCCAGACAAACAAAAGCTGAAGGATTTCATCAACACCAGCCCTGTACAAGAAATGCCAAAGGGAGTTCTTCAATCTGAAAGAAAAGGACGTTAATGAGCAATAAGAAATCATCTGAAGGTGCAGAACTCACTGGTAATAGTACATACACAGAAAAACACAGAATATTTTAACACAGTAATTGTGGTGTGTAAACTACTCATATCTTGAGTAAAAAGACTAAAAGAGGAAGCAATTAAAAATAATAGTTACCACAACTTTTCAAGACATAAACAATACAATAAGATATAAATAGAAACAACAAAAAAGTTAAAAAGTGGGGTAAGCCAGTTAAAATGTAGAGTTTTCATTAGTTTTCTCTTTGCTTGCTTGTTTGTTTACACACTCAGTGTTAAGTTGTAATCAGTTTAAAATAATGGGTTATAAGATATAATTTTCAAGCCTCATGGTAACCTCAAATCAAAAACATACAACAGATACATAAAAAATAAAAAGCAAGAAATTAAAACATAACCACCAGAAAAAATCACCTTCACTAAAAGGAAGACAGGAAGGAAAGAAGGAAGAGAAGACCACAAAACAACCAGAAACAAATAACAAAATGGCAGGAGTAAGTCCTTACTTATCAATTATAACACTGAATGTAAATGAACTAAATTCTCCAATCAAAAGATATAAGAGTGGCTGAATGGCTTTAAAAAACCAGAGGCTACACTTCTCAGCCTGTCAGATGGCCACCCTGCAGGATGTAACCCTTTATAAGAAATAAAGTCTCCTTTCTAAATGTATAAAAAATGTGTGATTTTTTAAGCCAACACGTCAGAATTTCCTTCCTTTTTAAAACTGATAATATTCCATTGTATGTATGTCACACATTTTTTCCATTTATCTATCTATGGATTCTTGAGTTGCTTTCTTCTTTTGGCTGTTGTGAATAATGCTGCCATGAACACGGATATACAAACATCTCTTTAAGACCCTGCATTCGATTCTTTTGAGTATATACCCAGAAGTGAAATTGCTGAATCATATGGTAATTCTGTTTTTAATTTTACGAAGAATTGCCATACTATTTTCCATAGAGGCTGTGCCATTTTACATTCCCATCAACAGCGCAATTTCTCCATATCCTCACCAACACTTGTTATTTTTTGATGTGTTTTTATACTAGCCATTCTAATCAGTATGAGGTAGTATCTCCTTGTAGTTTTAATTTACATTTCCCTAATGATTAGTGATGTTGATCATCTTTTCATATGCTTATTGGTCATTTACATACCTTCTCTGGAGAACTGTCTAATCAAGTCCTATGCCCATTTTTAAAATTGTATTGTTTGTTTTCTTGTTAAGTTGTAGGAGTTCTTTGTACATTCTGGATATTAATCCCTCATCAAATATATGATTTGCAAATACGTTCTCTCATCCTGTGGCTTGTCTTTTCACTCTGCTGATTGTGTCCCTTGATGCACAGACATTTTAGTTTTGGTGAAGTCTAATTTAACTATTTTTTCTTTTGTTGCTGGTTTTTTGTTTATGTTTTTATTTTGTTTTTTGAAACAGGGCCTCACTCTGTCACCAAGGCTGTAATGCAATGGCACATTCATAGCTCACTGCAGCCTCCGTCTCCAGGGCTCAAGTGATCCTTGTGCCTTAGCCTCCCAAGTAGCTGGGACTATCAGAATGTGCCACCATGCCCAGCTAATTGTTTTTATCTCTTTTTTTTTGAGACAGAGTTTCGCTCTTATTAAGCCCAGGCTGGAGTGCAATGGCACGATCTCAGCTCACCACAACCTCCGCCTCCTGGGTTCAAGCAATGCTCCTGCCTCAGCCTCTCAAGTAGCTGAGATTACAGGCACACACCACCACGCCTGGCTAATTTTTGTATTTTTAGTAGAGACGGGGTTTCACCATGTTGGTTAGGCTGGTCTCGAACTCCTGACCTCGTGATCCACCCGCCTCGGGCTCCCAAAGTGCTGGGATTACAGGCATGAGCCACCATGCCCGGCCGTTTTTATCTTTAGTAGAGAGAAGGCCTCACTATGGTGCCCAGGCTGGTCTCGAACTACTGAGCTCAAGTGATCCTCCCACCTTGGCCTCTCAAAGTGCTGAGATTACAGGCATGAGCCATCATGCCTGGCCAGTTGCTGGTATTTTTAATGTCATATCCAAGAAACCAATGTCATGAAGTTTTTTCCTATATTTTCCTCTGAAAATTTTATAATTTTAATTCTTATGATTAGGGGTTTCATCTATTTCAAGTTAATTTTTGTATTTGGTGTTAGGTAAGGGTCCAGCTTCAATCTTTTGCATATGGTGATCCAACTTTCCCAATACCACTTGTTAAAAAGCATTAACATCTTTCAAATGCCAGATATTGGAGTAAAAGGAATGGATGGTAGGAAACTAAGTTCTTTTTGGAAATGAGAAATAAGATCAATGGAGTAAACCAACGTCAAAGTCTAAACACCAGGAGAAAAGTTGGGTTGGGGAGAGTGTAGATGGGAGGAGAGGGAGAAGAGGGAGATTCTCCCCCACCTTTAATGCTTCACACACCGGCAGAAGTGTCTGAACGTTGAGGATCTCTGCTTGTCTTGGAGAAGTAAGGCCTCTGGATCTTCCCGACTTGGAGCCGGAGCAGCCAGCCCTGAGGCAAGACGTGACCGGACATGCCTTGGCTTGAAACGCTTCAGTTCTGACTACAAGCAAAGCCAAGGAGAGTCCTCCCTGGAGTTGAGAAGCAAACTAGAAATAGAGTAAATAGAGCAAAATTATGATAATTGAGGTTTAAAGGAGGGAACCAATTTGTGCCTTGGTATTGTATTTCCTTGAAAGCAAAAATACCAAAATTAGTATGTAAATGTGAGTAATTAATGGTCAGTTCCTCTCTATACTATTATTTTAATCATAAGTCATTAATCAGGCACCTGCACTGGGTGTGTTTTCTCTCTGACTCTCTCAGTTAGTGGAATCTAAGTATTCCACTGGGGCCTCCCATCCAGACAGGCAGACCTGAGTGCCTGGTAGCAACTCTCCAGACAGCAAAACTGGTGCTTAGGAAGGATTAACCAGGCCAATCCTCCTTTTAAGTTCAGCCGTGACTCAGCCATACAATTATACTCATTCAACAGAGGCATAAATGGTTGCTAAGACTTCATTGATAAAGGCTTTAAGACAAAGGAGTGAATTTCTGATTACGAAGATTCACACTCAAGGAGCAATCACGAGCTATTTTGAAGGATTCAAGGATCTACCCAACCCTGACCACCTGGCATAGGCTTTTGTCTGCTCCACCTATAAGAATGTCCACCCTGGTTTATTGTGATTTTCAATAATCACCATTGAACTAGCATTTGTCTAGCACCAACTTTACACACAGCACAAAACTGAGTATTGGGGGAGATTTTATAAAAAGGGAAAAAAGACTTCTCTTGCAGGAAGTTGCAGTCTAGCTGGGGATTCACCAGATATACACAAAACAACAGGCAAATCAGAAGTACAATTAAAATGATATAGTTCAAACTACTCATTAATGCTGAAGAACAGACTCATATCAGTACCCTAAACTATGCAGAGTGCAACTCATTATCATCTCCTCCAAGAACCCTTCCTATCTAGGGTAAATTCAATCCCTGGCAAAATTAATCTCTGCCCAGTCACTCTCTCTTCTATCACATTATTCTTTTTCCATTTTCCTATAGCACTTACCACTCTCTGAACTTCTCTCATTTGTTTATACATTTATTATTTATGTCAGCATTATTCAGACTATTTGGAAGACATAATACCCTAGTAGGTTATAAAATAAACTTAATGGGTCACAGCTACATTTAATTTTTTTTTACTTATTTTTTAACAAAATGAAATAGAGTATAATAAACAATTAGAATAAAATAGAAAACATGAGAACACATCACTGGACTTTTATTAGGAATTGTGAACACTGTAAGAAATACTGCATCCAATTGCTATGAGCAAGATTAAGAAAGCTAATAAAAGACTATGATGGGCCAAGCACAATGGCTCACGCCTGTAATCCCAAAATTTACAGAGGCCAAGGCAGGTGGATCACTTGAGGCCAGGAGTTCAAGACCAACCTGGCCAACATGGTGAAATCCCATCTCTACCAAAAATATATATATATTAGCCAGACATGGTGGTACACACCTGTAATCCCAGCTACTTGGGAGGTTAAGGCAAGAGAATCGCTTGAACCTGGGAGGCGAAAATTGCAGTGAGCCAAGATCGCACCACTGCACTCCAGCCTGGGTGATGGAGTGAGACCCTGTCTCAAAAAAAAGAAAAAAAAAAAAAAGACTACGATGAATATCAGTTGGCTAGTACAAGTCATTCTACCTTCTAAAAACAAACATCTCATTTGATTTTCTCATATATGATATGAATATGCCCATCATCTTTATGAGATAATTAGCTGTTTATATTTTATGTTAACATTAGTCAGAATTCATTGTAAAGCATTTTTCTGAAAGAACATTGTCAAGTGAGATATGTCTCAGGTTTGCATCAAATGTATATTTTGTTAAATTAGCATGAATTTCCCTTTAACAGGATTTCTCCTTATTAGAAAAGAATGATGAAGGAAAAATTAGAGAAATGCCCAAGTTCAACCTAGAACTGTAAATAATGACAAGGTTGAGAAAATTATTGATTCTAATTAGTTAGCTTCAACTTCATTTGAGATGTCTTTTAAAAAGAAAAAGAGAATTCACAGCTTTATAAGATGGATTATTTAAAAAAAATTTTCAGTGCATAAAATCCAACAAAAGTGACAAACCCCAATGTATTATTTGTAATGACAACTTCAAAACTAGAAGGACACTTGGAAACACAGCATGCTGGACTTATTAACAAGCCCTTCAAACATTTTTAAAAGAAAACAAAGGACAAACAATTACTGGCACAATTTCTCTGTTGTTCAATTAACTATTTTTTGTTTGTTTGTTTTGTTTTGTTTTGTTTTTTGAGGTGGAGACTCAATCTGTGGCCCAGGCTGGAGTGCAGTGGCACAATCTTGGCTCACTGCAACCTCCACCTCCCAGGTTCAAGAGATTCTCCTGCCTCAGCCTCCCAAGTAGCTGGGATTACAGGTGCCCACCACCATGCCCGGCTAATTTTTTTGTGTGTTTTTAGTACAGAGGGGGTTTCACCATGTTGGCGAGGCTGGTTTGGACTCCTGACCTCAAGTGATTCACCCGTCTCGGCCTCCCAAAGTGCGATGATTACAGGTATGAGCCACCGCGCCTGGCCTGTTCTATAAACTGTTAACGAGACTTAGTTACATATGGTTGGACAAAAGAGAAAATGGCTCTCACACAGTTGCTGAAAAATTATTCTTCTAACTATCCAGAGCATTGGTCTGGGCAAAGATTTCTTGAGTAAGACCTCAGAAGCACAAACAACCGAAGCAAAAATGGACAACTGGGATCACATCAGGCTAAAAAGCTTCTGCACATCAAAGGAAAAAATCAACAAAGTGAAGTGACGAGCCACAGAATGGGAGGAAATATTTGCAAACTACCCATCTGACAAAGGGTAACCACAATATATAAGGAGCTCCAACAACTCAATAGGAAAAAACAAACAAACAAATAATCCAATTTAAAAATGGGTAAAAGATCTGAATAGACATTTCTCAAAAGAAGACATACAAATGGCAAGCAGGTACAGGAAAAATGCTCAATATCAAATCATTGGAGAAATGCAAATGAAAACTACAATGAAATATTATCTCACCCCAATTAAAATGGCATTTAACCAAAAGACGGGCAATAATGAAAACTAGTAAGGATGTGGAGAAAGGGAAACCCTTGTGTGCTCTTGGTGGAAATGTAAATTGGTAAAACCACTATAGAAAACACTATGGAGGTTCCTCAAAAAATGAAAAATGAAACTATCATATGATCCCACGGTCCTACTGCTGGGTATATATCCAAAAGAAAGGAAATCAGTATATCAAAGAGATATCTGCACTCCCATGTTTAATGAAGTGCTATTCACAATAGCCAAGATATGGAATCAACCTAAGAGTCCATCAACGAATGAATGGATAAAAAAAATGTGGCACATACAGACAATGGAATATTATTCAACCATTAAAAAGAATGAAATCCTGCCATTTGTACCAACACAGATAGAACTGAGGGACATTATGTTAAGTGCAGTATGCCAGGGGCAGAAAGACAAATATCTCATGTTCTCACTCATAAATGTGAGCAAAAAAAAAAAAAAATTGAACTCAGGGAGTTTAGTGGGTACAATTATGGCTACCGGAGACTGGGAAGGATAGCAAGGATAGGGTGACAAAGTGGAAATGGTTAATGGGTACAAAAATACAGTTAGATAAAATGAATAAGATCTAGTATATGGTAGCACAATAGGGTGACTATAGCTAACAATAATTTATTGTCTACTTTAAAATAACTAAAAGAGTAGAATTGGAATGTCCCTAACATAAAGAAATGATAAGTGCTTGAGATGATGGATACTCCAATTGCCCTAATGTGATTATTACACATTACATACCTGTATCAAAGTATCACATGTACCCCATAAATATATACAACTATTATGTACCTATGCTAATTCAAAATGAAACAACTTTAAAAAAAATCAATCTTTCAAAATAAAAAAATAAAAATTATTCTCTAATACAAATAGCTATGATGAATATGATTTTAATACCAAATCAGCTAATAAATTGAAATGTACAATTCTTTGGGATAGTAGTATTTCTAGTCAAATCTGTGCTACTGCAGAACCTTCTAGAGCCATGCTTCTCATGTGGTTAAAATCCAGTATAGAGCTTGAGATCCATCCCGAAAACAGCACAGATACTGCAAGTTGTTAAACTCCTCTCATGTATGCAAAACAACAAGATGCGTGTGAGTGTGTGGGGGTGTTTGTGTTGTTTAAATTTAACCTCACACACAATGGATTGTATATATTTACAAAAGTGGAAAAATGCTTTGTTGGTCAATATCTACTAAAATGGAAAAATAGAGCCAGGCATGATGGCAGCACATTTAGTCCCAGCTACTTGGGTAACTGAGGAGGGAGGATCACTTGAGTCCAGGAGTTCAAGGATATAGCATGCTATGATCATGTCTGAGAATAGCACTGCACTCCAGCTTGGACAACATAGGGAGTCTCCATCTCTAAAAGAAAATAATAAATTCAATTATTTTAATTTATATTTAAAAATAAAATAAAATGTAATAATGGAATTATGAGTGACAGGGCCAGCTGATATGGCTAGAAAGCAGCAAAGCCATTAAAATATTTGTAAAAACTATTCATGACAGTTGTGTTTAGAAATCAGAATCAATAGAAATGTGCCATCTCTTGAAGTAAGTCTGCTAAATCTCATAGAAGTATTGGAAAACATCATGAAGGTTGTTAAATGTATTAAAGAGAGCTCATCAATAGCCAAAATTTTGATGTGTTTTGGTGAGATTTGAATGAACCATACTCTCACACTGAAGCTCACTGAAATTCATTGTTATCTACGGATAACCACGTAAGGGAAAGTATTAAGCAGGATGAATAAACTCAGAAATGACAGTCACATTTTTCTAGTTGGAAAGCAATCTCATTTGGCAAGCAATCTCATTTTCAAAGACAATATTTGCCATTTTTAATTAGTATATTTAATGGAGGTTATTGATTTTTTAAAATGAACTTAAATGTATAATTTCAGGGAGAAAACAACAATATAATTCAGCAAGTCCAACACATCCAGGATTCCAAAGACATTTTGTTATGGCAAGCAAGACCTAAAAGCAATCACCCTAGCACCTATTTGTTCCTCATATTGTTACAACATATTGAAAATGGTATTATTAGTAAAGTCAGTATGATGGAAATAAAATTAGGGAGATCGTTATATTTCACTCCTCAGTTTCAAACTTGGAGTGATTTTCCAGATGCAATCATGATTTTCCAGATGATAAATTATAAACACAAGATAAAAGTTTTCAAATGAAAGACTCATTTTCTTTTCAGAACCCTGAATCAATAATTGACCTAAACTTGGTGCCCAAAAGAGGTGAATGAATTATTGCAGCTCAGTTCTACGTTTGCACGAAAGACTAATCACAAGACGTTAAATGAATCATAATTGTAGGGTAAGATTAAAGAAGAATCTCCATTCCTAGGCAAAAAGAATGCATCTTTATTATCACCATTCACAATTACCTATTTGTATGAACAAGGATTTCCAACTTTTAAAGTCAATTAAAACAAAGGAGAGAAACAGGCGCATGAATGTATGCACAGTGAGAATTATCCTTGTATGTTCTGGACTGGAATAAACTTAGAAGCAGACAAGTACTCCTAGTGCATTAAATACAGTCTTGCCTGACTCTTGTTTTTGTATTGCTTATTTGGGAAATTTTTCTTATGCTGCATTCAAGTTTTTTGTTTTTTGGTTTTGAGATGAGGTCTCACTCTGTCGCCCAGGCTGGAGTGCAGTAGCACCATCATACCTCACCGCAGCCTTAACCTCCCAGGTTCAAGCACTCCTCCTACCTCAACCACCTGAGTAGCTGGGACCACAGACACATGCCACCAAGCCTGGCTAACCTTGTTTAATTTTTTTAGAGACAGGGTCTCACTATGTTGCCCAGGCTGGTGTCAAACTCCTTGGCTCAAGCAATCCGCCTGACTTAGCCTCCCACAGTACTGGGATTACAGATGTGAGTCGCCACACCCGGCTGCATTCAAGTATTAATAAGGCAATATTAACTTTATGTTTTTAGTTTTTATATTTAATAAGAGCAAGTGTTCTACAAAACTTTGATTCTATTGTGTGGCGGCAGAAGGGAGAAGGAATATACTACATTGCTGTGCAAGACACATTTCTTACTAGGAAGTGTGACATAAAAGAAAGCTGAAAACCTCCAGTCAGTGTCTGCACTCCCCAGAAACCAGCCCCTATAGAGTGTAAATTTCAGAAGGGGAAGAATTTGATCTGTCTTGTTCATCACCTGATCTCCAGTAGCACCTAGAAATGTGCCTAGTACATCTTCAATAAATATTAATATTTGCTGGATAAAGAAGGAACTCACCAAATCAAAGGAGAAAATTCAAGTTTATAGTTATGTTTTGTTTGCATTCTTGAGACACTTTCTCCCTTTTATAGATGTGGGTTTTAGAAAAGATAAAGGGAAGTTACCGTGGTCATTTCCTATGAGGATCTGCAGGTTGCTAATAAGAAGGAAGGACTCCTAATCCCTTCTGGTTGGAAGAAGATGATCTTGAGTTTTAGGCCGTAGAAAGCCCTAGATGGAGAAAGGCTAAGAGCAGCAGGAGGGATGGGTGCAGTTCAAGCTGCAGGCCTGTGCAGCAAGACCATCACTTTTCCAACTTAGTGGAAAGCAGCTTTGCCTTTGAAAGGTTGCTGGACTCTTTCTGAGCTGAGAGAGATGGTCTAGTTTTCATCCCTAATTTTATAGAGGTAGGGCTAGAACAAAAACTAACAGACATGAGAAATGGTCTCTGAATGTAAAGGGCAGAGAAACAGTCAAATTTAGGTTAGCCTTAACTTCCTTTTTATAAAATGGGGATACTATTTGTACCATATCATAGGGATGGTATAAGGATTAACTGAAATAATAAACATGAAATGCTAAGCATCATGCCTGGCCCATAATACATACTGAATCATAATTAGTTACTATTACTATTACCAACAGAATATGTAATGCTTGGTTTTTTATTTTTTATTTATTTATTTATTTATTTATTTATTTATTTTTTTGAGACTAAGTCTTGCTCTGTTGCCCAGGCTGGAGTGCACTGGTGCAATCTCAGTTCACTGCAACCTCCACCTCCCGGGTTCAAGTGATTCTCATGCCTCGGCCTCCCAAGTAGCCAGGATTACAGGTATCTCCTACCATGCCCGGCTAATTTTTGTATTTTTAGTAGAAATGGGGTTTCACTATGCTGGCCAGGTTGGTCTCCAACTCCTGACTTCAAATGATCCACCTACCTCGGCCTCCCAAAGTGCTGGGATTACAGGTGTATTTGGGAATGTTAACTGAGGTTTTTTTCCCTTGTGCTTCTTTATAACCATTACTCTTTTCTTTATCATTCTGTCATATTCCATACACATTGTTCTCAGACAGAAAGTAGATAAAGCTGAGAAGAAAAAATCTGTTGAATGTCTGAATGGATTTATTTTAAACCCATAGTAGAGACAACAGCTTGAGAGGCAGGACTTTCTTTGATTCTGAAAGCTGTGCATTTTGAGAAAGAGCAAAACAAGTGTGTAGCTGCTTCCTAAGTTTTGGTATGGAGCCCAGAGCCCACCCTCTGAACCAAGTAAACCCACTATCAAGGCAATATTTTTTAAACTGTGGGCTGAGACCTCTTGCATCATAAAATTGGTTTATCGGGATAAAACCAGCATTAAAAGAAAGAGAATACAATGGACTAGGAAATCCCAGAGTTTGTTGCCAGGTAATGGCAATGTTGTTTGGTGAAGTTGTTGTTTCATGTGTGATGTGTACGTGTGCTCAGCCGTGATGTAAAATGCATTTTCTATTATAGTCATAGTCAAAGAAATTCGTACATCACCAGAGACTCTCCATAGCAGAGGACACATGTGTCTCTCCTCTCAGAATGTACCAGGGAGAATCATAGTTCCTGGGAGAATTTCCACAACCAGAATGGCATCAGAAGAACAGAGCAACCATGATCCAGGGTGGCCACACAGAAACCCCTTGCATCTTGGCGAGGCTGGGGAAAAATCTGAAAAGTTTCTATGGCCACCAAAAGGGACGCAGAAGAGGCCCTGGACAAGCCAAAAGGATCCAAAGGAGCTGCAGTCTGGACTATAAGGATGTAGGCAAAGGGAGGTGACAGTGGAAACTTGGCCATCAGAAACTAGTGCTGGCTCAGGACAATGAGACCAAGTTGCAAGAGTTACCAATCAGTGGAAACTGTTGTAGACAGAATGTCATGATGGGCCAGACGCTGCTTTTCTCCCCACACCAACATGATGCATGAACCCTGCCCCACAGACACATGCCCCCTGCAGCTGCAGAGACTGAAAAAATGTCGGGGAATAAGGGGAGGGAACTTCTGATTCGCTATTCAAAGACTATGTTTCAATTCTGTTTTAAAACAGAATGGGGCTGGGTGTGGTGGCTCACACCTTTAACCCCAGCACTTTGGGAGGCTGAGGTGAGTGGATTGCTAGAGTCCAGGACTTCAAGACCAGCCTGGGCAACATGCCGAAACCCTGTCTCTACTAAAAATACAAAAATTTAGCCAGGTTTTGTGGTGTGCGCCTGTAGTCTCAGCTACTCGGGAGGCTTAGGAGGGATAATTGTTTGAGCCCAGGAGGCAGAGGTTACAGTGAGCTGAGATCAAGCCACTGTACTCTAGCATGGGTGACAGAGCAAGAGCCTGTCTCAAAAAAAAAAAAAAATCAGAATGGGTCTGATGGTACATTTCAAAAACAAGTTAGATGAAAATAAAAATTTAAAATCAAAATAAAAACAGAATGGGCACCAGGTGCGGTGGCTCACACCTGCAGTCCCCAGCACTTGGGAGGCTGAGGTGGGAGGATTGCTTGAGCCGAGGAGTTTGAGAGCAGTCTGGGAAACAAAGGGAGACTCCTGTCTCTACAAAAAAAATTTAAAAATTATCCAAGTGTGGTGGCATACATCTGTAATCCCAACTACTCGGGAGGCTGAGGCAGGAGGATCCTTTGTGCCCAGGAGGCTACAGTGAGCTATGATCGTGCCACTGCACTCCCGCCTGGGTGACAGAGCAAGATTCCATCTCTGTAAAACAAAAGATAAAAAACAGAAAGGGCTGGATTTATCTTGAATTAGAAAGACCACAGACATTGGAGGTTGAGTTAATGATTTGAGGTCAGTTCTAGGAAAATTAAGTTACATCTTCGAACACCAGGAGCTGTGACTGTATAAAATATCAAAACTGACATGTTATTATTAATGAAGCCTTTGGATTTGGCAACTAGAAAGTCGTGAGCAACCTCCAAAAGTGCAATTTCCGTCATGGTTAGGACAGAAGCCAGATGGGAATGGGGTCAGAACAGAGTGGTCAGAATAAACTGCTCTTTGGAGACACCCGTGAGGAGTGTGGGTGTGGGTGAGTATGGATCGCAGGCTTGAGGGAAAGTTCCGTTTATTTTAAATGGAGAAACCTAATAATTTATAGGCAGACGTTGTAGGCAGATGAGAAAGGCTTACACAGAACTGTCCGTGGGTAAAGGAAGGAGCCAGTGGACATCGGATACATTACTACTCGGATGAAAACTGGTCAAATCCTCAAAGGCAAGGTGCTCGCGGGATGGTAGCAGTCACGGTGGTACTGCAGGGTGGTGTATGGAATGAGAAGAAAGGTGTGTGTCTGATCGTGCTGGTCTTTGACTTCCATCTCTTTCTTGGGCTCAGCACCCCGGGACCTGTGAAGGTTGAAGACCCCGTGGAAAGGTTCCAGAGTCCTTAGGAGCTCCTAGGAGCCTCGTTCAATGTTATGGCTCTTCATTTAAACCCCATTGCCCAGTGGCTGTTGAGTTCTGCCTGCCCCTGTTCTCTGATCACTGCTTGGCTGACCCTTTTCTGTTCTGATCACAACAGTTTATCGTTCTCAAGGGACAATTCTGTAAAGGAACTCGAATGGAGGGTTCAAAACTGAGGCAAGGCATGTTTATGAAACAAGTCTCTCAAAGCCTGACGTTTCCCACGGAACAAGGGCTGTCTGTCCCACCCTGGCACTCATTCCTATCCCCCCGCCCCCGCCCTCCGTGTCAAAGGCTTCTCGGAGAAGGAGACCATGACATCACTTCCTTCGGGTGGTGCAGGGTCGTCTGGCCTCACGCCCACTGCCTTTGGCCGCTGACCCCCGAGGAAGTGAGGCAGCGGCCGGAGCCGGGCACGCCCTGAGCTCGCTCTCCTGTTTTCCCTCTGGCTCACCTCTGGGGGCGGTCCCAGATGCCTTGAGAAGTGGGTTGTCTTCAAAGTATCTCAGTGCCTCCCAGTGCCCTCTGATATTTCCTTTAGAAGTCATGGGGAACTGCAGGGGTGAAGAGACACCACTAGGTGGCTGCACAAGACCTTGTTTGTTTCCATAGGTGCCAGGCTGGCGGCAAAGAGAGATGAGACCCCCCGCCCCCCGCCACTGTGTGTGTGTGTGTGTGTGTGTGTGTGTGTGTGTGTGTGTTCGTGCGCGCGCACGTGGCGGGGGGGGGGGGGGGGGGGGAGGTGCCCAGTGGGGAGAATGGGGAGGCAGAGACAGAAGTTTAAGAAAACCCAATGTTAAAAAAGCCTAAATTTACAAAGCAGGTAAGTTGAAGGGCTATCCTTAATGCCCACAGTGGAAGGAGTGCAGAGCTCCTCCTTATAGGAGAATTCTCTTGATATTTTTAGTCCTTTTTAGTTCATCAGTTATTTAGCAGAGAAACTGAAGTGTTAGCCTACTAACGTTTCTGGCTACTGAAAATGAATCAGAAATGAGAAGGTTGCATGAGATCTGAATTCTTCTAAGAATCAGATTTCTTTGCATCTGATTTGCATTCATTTTCATTCATAATCAGAAATTTGACGAGTTCCTACTACCTGCCACACCCTGGGCTAGGTGCTGAGGAGAGAGCTGTGAACAACACTCTGTACCCTCATGGAACCTAAGTAGAAAAATGCATATACACTGTACATAGAAAAAAAAGGGTACAGTTTCTCCAGCTCTGTCATTCTACGATTCCATGACTATACCCTTCCTTTGCACAGCCCTCACATGAAGCATGGGATAGTAAGACTCAGTTAATCCACCAAAATTAGATGCCACACAGATTTTCTGGAGTAGAGTTGCAGTGTGATTTCCAGCATGTGGTCATTTTACCATCAAAAGTTCCATAAGAAGTGATGCCATGGAATTTCCAAGTCTCTCTTCTTTATCTGTTTATTACCTACTTAGGTCATCTGCCAGTGCCAGGACAATCATCTGAGACAGGGGCCGCTCCTGCGGCAGAAAAAGCGGTGGGCAGGCTGAAGACCACAGGCTGAAATACGCAATTGGAAAATAAGAAAGAAAAGTGATCACAAGTCCTGGACACCAAGAAGATTGTGGAAAAACTCATAATATAAAGGTGTGGCATTTCTAAGCACTGCCAAATTTATTTCTCCAGCCAAGTCAAACATGACACAATGGAAGCCAGCTCCCAGATGCCCCACATGAGAAAGCATAGATTATAGATTCAGTGTGGAAATCACATTTGGGTTTGGGAGGTGGCTGGCTTGATCTGCAAGAGGGTGGGGTATGACTTGCACCCATGTGTGCACATAAGCACATGTGAGAACTAGGAGAATGGGTGTTCATGTGGAATCATGGAACACCAGAGCTGGAACATACTTTCAAACTAATTTAATCCATCCTCTCATTTTATAAATGCAGAAACCAGGCCTGCAAAGGAGAAGGTCTTGCCCAGTATCCCAGAGTCACCATTGACAGAACTAAGACTATATAACTCAATATCTTGATCCCCAGTTCATAATTCCAGTCATTTTATCTCTTCTTAAAGGATCATAGACATGTTTGTTGCCTTTTTCACTTGGATTTACTTGACTTACCTTTACATGTTATGGTGGTTGAATGGTGCCACCATCCCTTTCCCAAAAAAGATACAGAATCTGTGAATATGTCCTTACTTTTAAATTTATTTTTAAATGTTATTTATTTACTTATTTGTTTGAGACAGGGTCTCACTCTATCACCCAGGCTGGAGTGCAGTGGCACAATCATGGCTCACTGCAGCCTCAACCTCCTAGGCTCAGGTGATTCTCCCACCACAGCCTCCTGGGTAGCTGGGACTATAGGTGCACGCCACCACACCTGGCTAATTTTTTGTATTTTTTGTAGAGATGGGGTTTCACCATGTTGCCCAGGCTGGTCTCGAATCCCCTTATTTTTAAAAAGGATCTCTGCAGAGGTAATTAATTAAGGATATTGAGATGAGATTATGTTTTATTAGGATCAGCCTATATCCAATGGCAAGTGTCTTGAGAAGAGAAGAAGAGGAGTGAAAAGGAGAGGAAAGGAAAGGAGAGGAAGGGAGGGGAGAAGAGGAGAGGGGAGGGAAAGGGAGGGGAGAAGAGGGGAGGAAGAAGACACATGGAGAAGAAGACAATGTGAAGACAGAGATTGGGGTGATATATCTACAAACCAAGGAACCCCAAGGATTTCCTGCAGCCACTAGAAGCCAGGAGAGAAGCACGGAACAGCTTTCCCCTCAGTGCCTCCAGAAAGAACAAACTCTGCTAGCACCTTGATTTTGGACGTGTGACTCCAGAACTGTGAGAGAATAAATTTCTGTTGTTTTAAGCTACCAAGTTTTTGGTACTTTGTTACTGCAGCTGTAGGAAACCAATACATTTATATGTCTCAGTTCCTTCAACTGCCTTTGTTCTATTCTTTTGTTACCTTGAAGACGGAAGCATTCTTTGAGCATAGTAGCACATCATGGTTATGAGATGCTGTTGCTATTGGCAGGCGAAAGATTGCTTAGAGATGGTCCTCTTGGAAAAATCTAAACATGTTGTACTCTAAGTGCCACTAACTAAAACCAGCCTTGAGAAGTTCTCAAGACGGGCCTTCCAAATGCCCTAAAGCTGTCTTCATATGACCAAAAGGAGAGCCAATGGGAAAAGAACACAACAGTTTTTCCCCATCCTAGATGTTGAGTGTGGTCATGACTGGCTTTTATTAGAATCGTGTTCTCTCTGGTAATATGAGAGGCTGTTATCAGTATGATTATTTATTTATCATCTAGGTTTTTTTGGTTTTTTGTTTGTTTGTTTGTTTTTTGAGACAAGGTCTCGTTCTGTTGCCCAGGCTGGATTATAGTGGCGCAATCTCGGCTAGCAGAAGCCTTGACCTCTTGGGCTCAAGTAATTCATCCACCTTAGCCTCCTGAGTAGCTGATACTACAGGTGCATGCCATACCTGGCTAATTTTATCATTTTTATAGAGACAGGGTTTGTCCCCAGGTTGCCCAGGCTAGTCTCAAACTCCGGGGTTCAAGCAATCCACCCACCTTGGCCTCCCAAAGTGCTGGGATTACAGGCATTAGCCACCATGCCCAGCCCACCTAGGTCTTTAAATGACTTTGGATGGTGCAGGGGAGTGGGGAGTCACACCTTAAATGAATTTAAAATAGAATTGGAATTATAAGTAATATTATAAGGCAAATCTGTTGCATAATGCATTGTCTTCAAGCATATTTTTCCTTTTCATGTGGTTGTTGGCAAATATCTGCAATGGGAAAGAGGATCATCCTTTTGGGAGACTTTCTTTTGTGTTTCTCAATGTTGCAGAAATAAACACACAACTTTAATTCGTTCCCCAAAGGAAGAAATAATAAAAACAACCTACTCAAAACTAGTCAGAGTTGCTGGAAAAATCAGGAAATAGCTTTTGTGGTTTGTTTGTTTGTTTTTCTCCATAATTTTCCAGGAAATCTATTAAAGACAGTAGCTGCCCTTTGGATAACACATTCATTCCAAGGGCCAAAGATATTGGTGCATATGCTGAAGCTGTCTCATGTCCTGAGCAAATCTCTCCATCTAAGCTCATGGCACCCCAGGGCTGGGCTCAGAGCCACGGCATAAAGAAGTCAATGGTGTCAACCTAAGGAAAACAAGGCAGCTGATATCAAACTTGTTTAGAATAATGTCATCTGATGAATTAATTCCACTTTAAGCCCAAATTGAGATTTAAACATGTCAGAGAATGGACCTAAACTGGTGGGTGGACAAGAATAGTCAGTTTGTAGGTTTGCTATATGGAGTAGAAACAGAAGGGAGGAGGTTTAGTGGCCATCGGGTTGGAGGTAAAAATGAAAGGCCAAAGTGGGATTTGTTCCATACCTGGCACCTCAGTTTGATGTCTGAGCCTGGTAGAAAAGGGGCTGTGAGCTAAAGCTATACTATTGGTCTTTGTGAGGGACTCAGTGAGGCCTGAGGCAAGAGTATCATTCTTACTTTCCTGAGGGACCCGCATGACACAGGTTGCCAGACAGATGGGCCAGGACATAGTGCTGTTCTGGCCCTCATGGATTAGAAACTTTGGCCTCTGGATTTAGTTGGCTTGGATGTTGAAATTCTGATTGTGGTGGCCAGAAGCTAGGGCAATGGAGAGTCATCTCAAGAGGTTTTGTGGACAGCAAACTTGGATGGGGCTGAGGCCAAAGAAGAGGGACGAGCCTAGAGGAATCTGTGCGTTGACTATAATAACATGGTCACCATTCATAAGGACATGTGAGACATCCTCAATGAAGTCTGGATAGAACTTTGTTGAAACAAATAGAAGGTCCTAGTTGAGCATGCGGTAAGAAGAGTCAATAAAACTTGGGTTATTACTATTTTTTTTAATTTTGTATTTTTTGTAGAGATGAGGTTTTGCCATGTTACCCAGGCTGGTCTCAAACTCCTAGACTCAAGAGATTCACCCATTTCAGCCTCCCAAAGTGCTGGGATTACAGGTGTCCACCACAGTGCCTGGCATGGGTTACTACTACTAAGGTGACCCACTTCGGTACCCAAGAAACACTAAGGTTGAAATTACACCTCATCTAATAGGCCATGTTTTCAAACTGTGCTTCATAGTAGTCTAGGTATACTGAGGAGACCCTTGAGACTGGAGGAGTGGCTCACAGCAGGATCTGGGCCTTCTACCACCGACTCAACATCAGCCACTATTTCACCTATTTTACCTACAGTAAGAGGAGTTTTGTAACTAACAAAAAGGTCTTCATAGCTTAATGGAGAGGTCTCAAACACCTCTGCTTTAGGGCTCCCTTGACTAAGCCTGGCAACATGTACTGAGTAGATTTTCAGTGAATTACATATTTATTTGTATATACAATCTAGCCAAAAGATGATTTGAAGCAGTAATAAGTTTGTACTAATGGATGAGGCCAGAGTAAGTGATTTATTTCTAAAACCCATTGAAAATAACAAAACAATTAAAATATTAAATGTTTGGGAATACTGTTTTATTCCTTTTGGACACACCAGAAATGAACGAACACAAATCTTAATGTGGGACATTTATAGTGATTCTATCTATTGGAAATAAGAAAAATAGTAGTAAACGATCATATGTACCTCTGTTTTAAGTATATTTCCAAGTTACTATCTGTGAGCTTGTTCAGTAGTTGTTATCTAATTTTCCATAGCAAGAAAAAAATGGCCAACTCATAAGTTGTGTTTCTGTATGCATTTAGATTAACAGATTATTATTGGTTTTTTAAAAAGGGAGGTTTTGGCCAGGCGCGGTGGCTCACGCCTGTAATCCCAGCACTATGGGAGGCTGAGGCGGATGGATCACATGAGGCCAGGAGTTTGCCTGGCCAACATGGTGAAATCCCGCTACTAAAAGTACAAAAATTAGCTGGACGTGGTGGCGCACGTCTATAATCCCAGCTACTCTGGAGGCTGAGGCAGGAGAATCGCTTGAACCTGGGAGGCAGAGGTTTCAGTGAGCCAAAATTATGCCACTGCACTCCAGCCTGGGCAACAGAGCAAGACTCCATCTCAAAAAAAAAAAAAAAAGAAAGAAAAAGAAAAAAAAAATAATAAGGGATGTTTTTAAAAATTAAGGTTCCATTAATAAATAAAAATTGTCTGAATGCAGCTAACAGTTTTGAATGCCACTAGCCTTCATAACATACAGATCAATAAGGATTTTCTTCTAGGCAGAAGTCCCAACGAAAATAGCATGTGTGTGTGTGTGTCTGTGTCTGTGTCTGTCTTCCTGTGTGTTTTTATTTTATGATAAAAAGGTTTAAAACTAAATAAATGATCATGTCAAACTTTTTTTTAAGTGTGCACAGTTTTCAACAAAAGAGCCAAAGAAATTTTGGAAAGATTTATGTATTCATCTTGGTCTTTACAAGTTGTAACTGTTCCTAGAGAGTGGCCTAGCAGCCAGGGTCGCCTGTGTGCAGGCTTCACCTATTATGTCAGTGCCCAGCAGGCAGGCACGTGAGGCTGAGACCAGCTCACATCTTCTCTGCTGAGCAGCCCGCCCAGGCCCTGGGCTGCATCTGTCTCTAATGTGCCCACAGGCACAAGTGACCTGTAAAAGCAGGAGACTCAAGTCTGTGAACTGGAAGATAAATGTATGCTTTCAGAATATTTCTAGACTTCTGACCTGCATCTTTTAACCAATGTTTTTTTGATTTCTTATCAAAATTAAAGCTGTGGGCCGGGCGCGGTGGCTCACACCTATAATCCCAGCACTTTGGGAGGCTGAGGTGGGTGGATCACTTGAGGTCAGGAGTTTGAGACCAGTCTGGCCAACACAGTGAAACCCCATCTCTACTAAAAATACAAAAATTAGTCAGGCGTGGTGGCGCATGGCTGTAGTCCCAGCTACTTGAGAGGCCAAGGTAGGCGGAGGTTGCAGTGAGCTGAGAGATTGTGCCACTGCATTCCAGCCTGGGCAACAGAGCAAGACTCCGTCTCAAAAAAAAAAAAAAATCAAACCTGTAGCATTTTAAACCAGATTGCAATAAAATAAGCAAGAAAAGTGTCAAACCTAGTAAGCATAATGCTGAAATCTCACATAATTCTTAAATCTCAGAGATGTTCAATTTATTATATATTTAACCACTTTTTATCAAAATGTATCACAGAATGCCACTGTGCCACCGTGATTCAGTGTGAAAGCCACATCTGCCCATCCACTGCAATGGTCCAGCCTGCAGTCTGTTTTCCGTACCAGTAAGCAAAAGTAGCAAAACTGCCACTGGCTCAACTTTTCCCAAGTAATAAATTCACTTTGCTTAGTCTTCAGAATGTTTAGCTCCTCTTGCTAATCTATCAGCTTCTTCATTGCCAATACACCCTGGATGACCAGGAACAAGTATCCACTGAATGTCCATGCCTTGACTGAGCTTCTCCAGTGCCACAAAGTCCTTTTTGTTCATCACCTATTTCCCTGTACTTGTCTTCCACCTGTTCTTCTTCCTACCTTGAACCCAGTTAGTTATACCATTTATAGCAAACATACTATCTGTGTACAGAACCAATTTATTGATGTTTTCAGCCTTTGCTTGTTCAATGGTGTTGCAGGCTGCATGATTTTCTGCTCTTTGGTTTGTCTGTCACCCAGGAAGTCTAATGCCTACATTTAAAGGATGGCCTGGCCCCCAGTAAACGTCAGTTCCCACTAGTGCTCTCCTCCACCCATTACTGGAGCAGTAGCCATCAGTGTAGACGACGACAAAGCCTCCGATGTAAGAAAATGTCTCTGCTCACTCGAGGTGCCGGCTCTATGATTTGCTTCACAGGCTTTGCACAAGACTCTGCACTTTCATCTCCATCTCCATTCAGTGGCTCACAGAGTCCCTTGCTGGCTTTCATTTGTGATTCTTGTACATGTTTATTTTTCTGCCCTTCTGAACCTTCTGGGCTTGCAGATTTCCTGACAAAGGCCCAGGCCTCATTTTCTGTGGCAAACTTCTTAAATCTGGCAGCAGGAAATAGGTCCACCTATGCTCTATATTCATTCCAGGTCAGAAAGACCCCAGTCCTGCAGGCCCTCCCCACAGCATAGACCATCCTGAGGCTGCAGCAGTCCCTGTGGCAGCGCACAGCTATCAAGGTGACTCTGTGGGCCAGGGACAGAAGCTGGCACATGGCTCACTCTCACCTCACATCAGTGTGACCCCAACAGTGCCCACTGAAAATAGCTTCAGTAAAAGTACACTCTGAGGCCGGACACGGTGGCTCATGCCTGTAATTCCAGCACTTTAGCGGGTGGAGGCGGGTGGGTCGCCTGAGTCCAGGAGTTCGGGACCAGCCTGGGGAACATAGCAAAACCCCATCTCTACTAAAAAGATTACAAAAAATTAGCTGAGCATGGTGGCCTGCACCTGTGGAGGCTGAGGTGGGAGAATCACCTGAGCCCGGGAGGTCCAGGCTGCAGTGAGCCCAGATTGTGCCACTGCACTCCAGCCTGGGTGACAGGAGTGAGAGCCTATCTTAAAAAAAAAAAGTACACTCTTAGGCATAACTAAAGACTTGGCTAATTATTTTTCTCTATGGTCAGTTGGACCATTTGCAAGAACCAACCCATTTGCGTAGCTGTGTCTGATAAGACCGGCCTGCTCCAGGGCAGAACATTCTTTTGAGGACCAAAGCTAGCCAGATCAATGCATTTGAAAAAGGCCTTGTCATAAATCTATCAAATCTCCTATTCCTTGAGCTAGGCTGTGGAGAAAAAACAAAACATGTGATCTTCTAGAATGTTCTTGAGAACTTTACTTTGAAAGGTAGATAACATTCTCTGAAAGCCTCTGCACTTGATAAGATTATTTCGTTCAGCACAGATCATAGCTATAAGGAGCTATTCCAAAAGGGGTTAGCATTACCTAGAATTCCAGATTGAAGCCAATTGCACTACAGGCTGGGGGGAGGGGATATCATGAATCAGAACATACGGACCAGACACAGCCCTTCCCTGAGCAGCCATAGACAAGTCCAAGGGACGTGGCATAACTGCCGCCTGTTTCCAAGCAGGCAAAGTTGTCCAGAAGAGTCTGATCAGAAGGGGCCAAATGGGAATCCAGTTTCATGAGTTCTTGGCAGCAACGGTGCTCGCCATTAGGGGTAGACTGAAATGCTAACGGGAACCAGCCAGCTCCATGTGAGGCGTGAGACCGGGATTAGGCCCAAGTCCTGGGAAACTGAGCTGGCAGCAAACAGCTAGGCGGCTGGAACACAGGCTAGGTCTACCTCGGATGCCAAAGACCAGGACAGAAGGGACCTAGCAGAGATCCTGGCTACTTGTGTACCTGGCAGCCAGCTTTGAGGCCATGTTCTTAGTGCTCTAGCTGCAGATAAAAAGCAGCAGCAGAGGGTCTTCATTTCCCATTCTTGATGGGAGAGAAATGCAACCTCTAGCTTGGGCTTCCAAAGCCCATTCTAAGCTCTAGCCAGGACAGGGAGGAACAGGGCTGGGGATCATTGCACGGCAAAAGGTGATGGTAGACCTAGGAAATCTTGAGTTTTAGAGTGGCCAACTTGGGCAGGGATACTCACAGATTAGGTATACTTCTTGGTAGACCACCACCAAAGCCCCTGATTCCACATCGATATCTTGAAAATGTGCTTTTACTGAGAAACCAAGATCAACTTTTCTCTGGCTGAATGGATGTAAGTTAATTCTACATTCAACATAGATTTTAAAAAACCACACACATCCTCAGAAGAATGTTTAAGTCCTTTGGAGAAGCATGAGGAGGTAGCTTTCCCATTTTCCCCCATAAGCGGACCACATCTTTGCTTTTGTGCATTTTCTTCAGATGCTGGGAACCAGGCCCAAAAACTGTTGAAAAGGGGTTTTCTAATGTAAAACAAATTCAGGTTCACATTTAGAGAATACTAAATGCAAGTGTGCAAGATCACGTCACCGCTTCGCTCTTACTTTGTATCAGTCCAAAAAGCAAATATCCAGAAGCTGCTTCCAAGTCCTGACTCTACACGCAAGTTGTTGTCTGGAACCAGTTTCCACCATGCCACATAACCTCCTGGATGATTAGCAAAAATCGCTTTCCACTTACTACTTGCAGCTGTTTGGAATTCCACATTGCTGCTCTGCTGAGTAGCAGAGCCTAACTGGGCGAGCTGTACAGTAAACACATGAATCTCTGCCAGCGTTGGCATCTAACAGCACCATGATTTGCAAACATGTTGAATTGCTATTTTATTCAATAAACGAACTTACAATAGAAAATAGATTTGGAAGTTACATCAAACTTGTTTATCCTGTTACAGTGGGCTGGGTAAAGCTATTGTGCTTTGGTTATAAAGAAATCCCTGTCGGGAAGCAGCAGGCGGAGTCTCTGCTATTCTTTCCTAGGCTAATATTAAGCACTCGGAGTATACCTAGGTCACACTGACTCACTCTACATGGAGGGACACCCCCTCCTTTTAAGATCTCTTTTCCCCAGCACTAACTCCATAGTTTGGGTCAATGAATACTAATTATGCTGTCTCTTAGTCTCAGTGTTATTCACCAAATGCTACTTTTCCCTATGTGTTCCCAGAAAAAATATATTAATATATAATATTTGGTGGAAATGTATGTGTATATATGTGCACATATGTACATGTGTAAATGTATATATGTATGTGTCTATGCGTGCATGTGTGTGTGTAAATTTCCTCATGTCAGGGCTGTGCCTTCATCAGCTGAGAGCTCTCCAAGGGCAGCAGGCTGGGTCTCCTCTGTCAGTATCAGATGGTCCTGAAATGATTCTCACCCCTACCCCTATCCCCATCAGTCAAGAGACACCCTCTATCCTAGGACTGGGAGTTCCTTGACCCTTGTGGGGAGCAGAAGGGGCAGTACCTTCTGCATGTGACTGAATGAAGGGAAGGCAGTAAGCTCACAGCAGAACAACACAGGATGAGGAAGAAAACTCTCAAAGATTTGCCCAGATAATAACAGCACTTACTTTGCCAGCTTCTTCCATCTGAGCAAATGGGTGTGGTCATTATAAGAAGGCGACTATTTCCCCCAAGTAAATAGGGTATGCTATTTGGTGAAAACGGAAATTGTAGGAGAAAGTGTCTCATTTCTGCAGTTTGAAAGCAGCTAATCTCTGTAGTCTGGGTGTCTATTTACACTGCTTTTCAGCAATAAAGGGTAACATTACCTTAATAACCTGCTCATCTGAGGCAGGGAGGATACTTAAGGCATCAGAGAGAGAGGCATTTACTCTGATGAGCCACTTTCCCCAAACAGCACAAAATCGACAGCATTCGCCCAGGAGATTTTTTTTTTCTGGATTTCTAAAAATATTTCCTGGTTATGGCATGTGATCTAAGACACAGGCACCCTCGGCTCACTCTTCTGCAGCACCTCAACTTCCCCACTGCCATCCCTGCCAGACAGGGAGGAAAGGAGAAAATCAGTCGAGCACTGGACTTTGAAAGAAGAAAGTTTTGCCAGTTAAAACCTCAACTAAGGCCAGGCATGGTGGCTCACGCCCATACTCCCAGCACTCTGGGGGGCCAAGGCAAGTGGATCACTTGAGCCCCGGAGTTCAAGACTAGCCTGGCCAACATGGTAAAACCCCATCTCTACCAAAAATACAAAAAGTAGCCAGGTGTAATGGCATGTTTCTGTGGTCCCAGCTACTCAGGAGGCTGAGGTGGGAGGATCGCTTGAGCCCTGGAGGTGCAGGCTGCGGTGAGCCAAGATCACGCCACTGCACTCCAGCCTGGGTGACAGAGTTAGACCCTATTTCAAAAAAGAAAGAAAGAAAAAAAAACTGAGTAATTGTGAGGCAGAAAATGGTTTTGTAATTTGATTTCGGTGCTCCCAGAAACACCTCTGGGAAAGGGGTTCACGCATGGGAGAATATCAGCTCTGCTTCCCAGCTAGGAAGGCTGTTTTCTCCCTTTTTCTTTTTTCAAGGAGACCTCTGGACATTTCTGACCTAGGCGCTGCCCTCTTTTAGGTAACTGGAGCACTTATTTCAAAATGGCCTTTTTTTGACACCTCTTCAAAAGCTGCCGGATGACAAGCCGCACCCACTCCCACACCCACAGCTACAGGGCATTGTTCTTGGTCCCAGCCAGCTTGGAAACCTCTCGTCTCAACTTGCATTTAAAAAGGATCTGAGGACAGATTCAGGGAAGAGTTTTTTCTTTTTTTTTTTCGTAGATATGGCCTGAGGCATACAATGTTTTTTTTTTTTGTCATCAACAACTAGTACTTACAATGCAAGCAGATGCCTTTTCTTTGACTGAAAAAGCTTAGTTGGGCAGTATGGCAGTGATGTGGACTGGGAGTCTGCACACACAGTAAACTCATTGATTCAGGCTCAGCTAAATCAAAATTTGATCAGTTTGACCTTTGAAGAAAGGGTTGGGTCTTTTTACTTTTTTTTTTAACCTGTTTTAAAAAAAAAAGGTAATTGAAAGGGTAGTTAAGACCAGAGAAGGCACGTTCAATCTATTTGGCATGCTTCTAAGTACCCAAGGATATTACCAGCATGGGAATAGATGTTGCTTTGTACAAAACAGTCTTATCTGTTCATTAACCAGTTTCCACAAAACCATAAAACTGCCTCTGAAAAATCCTATGAACAGTTATCTCAAATGTGATCATGAAACTAAAAATACTTGAAATAGACTCAGTCTTTACAATGATTTTGTAACAGGCTGTGATGAGATGGAAAAGTTTAGGTTGTGGCTTTGGAATTCTTGGGTTCAAATCTTGGCTTACTCACTAAGAAATATTAGATAAATTGCTTAACCTCTCAGAACCTGAGCTTCCTCCTTATTTGTAAGAAGATTCTTCATTCCAAAGAGTAAATGGAATATTGCTTATAAAAGTGTTACTGATACAGACAGGAGGCAGGGAAATACTGGGTAGAAGAGGGTGGTTACCCGGCAAAGGCTGGAAACCATGGCCCTAAATGAGAACAGTTATCCCTGACCTCCTGCCCAAGTGTTTTCCAAAACCACCCTGGCCCACTACGTCCCCCATTCTGTACCCTTAAAAACCTCAAATGCCAGGCTCCACAAGCAGAAGAGCAGCAGAGCAGCACAGCAGAGACGGCGAGAACAGACAAAGCATCTGAATGTCGAGAGCTCAGCTGGGAGCAGTTGGAGAGGAGGCATCCTGGCGGCAGGATGCCTAAACTCCAGGGGAAGATCATCTTCCCATTCCATCCCCTCCCCAGCTCCCCATCCCACTGAGTGCCACCTCTATCACTCAATAAAATTCCCGCATTCACCATCCTTCAAGTCTGTGTGACCTGATTCTTCCTGGACACTGGACAAGAATTCGGGATGCACTGGATGCAGGAAGCCAAAAAGGCTGTCATACTGACTCTTCACTCAGCTGTTTAACAATTAAGTCATCCCCATATGGCAGGGCTAAAACAGCATTGTAACACCCCTAGACGCTGCTGTGGGGCTGGAGCCCAAAAGCGCTCACCCCAGCTCCTGCACCTGCTCACCTGCAGGCTCCCGCTACCTTAAGGGATTTGAGTATTTGGGGGGGCCGAATAAATGAGCCACACCCCTATTGCACATCCTGCAAAGGGGTCAGGGAACTCTCTCATTTCATTACCGGAAAGGAGTCCTGATCCAGACCCCAAGAGAGGATTCTTGGATCTCACGCAAGAAAGAATTTGAGGTAAGTCCACAGAGCAAAGTGAAAGCAAGTTTATCAGGAAAGTAAAGGAATAAAAGAATGGCTACTCCACAGGGAGAGCAGCCCTGAGGGCTGCTGGTTAACCATTTTTATGGTTATTTCTTGATGATATGCTAAACAAGGGGTGGATTATTCATGCCTCCCTTTAGACCATATAGGGTAACCTCCTGATGTTGCCATGGCATTTGTAAACTGTCATGGCACTGGTGGGAGTGTAGCAGTGAGGACAACCAGAGGTCACTCTTGTCACCATCTTGGTTTTGGTGGGTTTTAACTGGCTTCTTTACTGCAGCCTGTTTTATCAACAAAGTCTGTATGACCTATATCTTGTGCTGACCTCCTATCTCATCCTGTGACTTAGAATGCCTTAACTCTCTGGGAATGCAGCCGAGTAGATCTCAGCCTCATTTTACCCAACTCCTATTCAAAATGGAGTTGCTCTGGTTCAAAAGCCTCTGACAAAAGCATTTTGTAAACTTTAAAGTGCTATATAAATGTACTTTGTTGTAAAAACCCTGTTATTAGATTATAAGACCTTAGAATCTGAATTTCTTGAGTGGAGCCCAGGAATCTGTATTTTTAAACACAATTCCTTAAGTGTTATGCAATTAGGCTTGGGAACCATGTTGGTGTTGTCCCTGGATCAGCACCACCTGCACCACATGGGAACTTATTAAAAATGTACATTCTCAGCCATGCCAGACCTTTGGAATCAGAAACTCTGGGGCAGGGTCCTGCAGTCAACATTTTAACAAGTCTTGCCAGTGATTCTGAGCCAAGCCAATTACTGAGAACTACTGATCTAGAACACAACGTCTCATTCTACAGCATTCATACAAATCACCTGGAGGTCTTGTTAAAATGCCTGGGATGTGGGGCAGGAAAGGGTTAGGAGACTGTGTACTTTTGAAGGAGATTTCAAGTGATGCTAATTTTGTCAAGCACATTTTAAGTAAGGAAGACCTGAAAGACACCAGGCATCCTTCAGAAGATGCGGTTCAGACCCTTCTGGGCCACCTCAGGCCAACATCTGACAAGAGTGCAGAGGGAGAGAATTTCTCACCCTACACTCATCCCCTTGACTTGAGTGTATCTGTTTGAAGGGTTAAAAGGTGTGGATTGGGAAGACAATCAATCGGATGCTGGGGCCCTGTCTGAGCTGCTCATTTATGTGGTTGGGAAAGGAAGTGACAGCAACTCCTGAACCCTGGTATCACAGCGATGGCTTTGTGGAGGGTCATTGTAGGGTAAACGCACCTGTCAGCATTAAGTTTAGCATATCCTCAGAATGACCCTGTATGGCAGATGCACCAGAATGTGTGTTCTGAGCTAGGGAATCTGGGAGTAGCCAACCAGGAGATTCATTCCTTGTCTATGCAGAACATCTGAGTCCCTGGCCCATCCTATGGGACATGGTGGTACAGGGGATTAAGGCCCTGAGTTTTGGGGCTAAATGAACTCTGCTGGGTGAAAGCTGTTAGGGGGAGGGTGTTAAGTGAAAATGCTATACAAACTGCATGAGATTTGGAGGCCATTGCAGTTTTCCTGCCCAGCCCACTGCCACTAGGCCACTCGATTATGTTGTCCGGCCCGATGTCCCCCTGTATGGAAGCCTCTAATAAAACCCCATGTCTCATTTGCTGGCTCTGGGTCTCATCTTCAGCCTCTTGAACTTGGTGCCTTACTCACTGGGGTTAATAGGGGTTTCATACAACTGTCACCCAGCCCTGGAAGAATCTGACTCAGTGTCTTCTCTGGTCTTTTTACCAGGATGTTTCATTTGTTTGTTTTTGAGACAGGGTCTCACTCTGTCACCCAGTCTGGAGTGCAGTGGTACAATCTCAGCTCACTGCAGCCTCAACCTCCTAGGCTCAAGCCATCCTCCCACTTCAGCCTCCCAGTTCAGACTACTGGCTAATTTTTGTATTTTTTGGAGAGACAGGGTTTCACCATGTTGCCCAGGCTAGTCTTGAACTCCTGAGCACAAGCAATCCTCTTGCGTCAGCCTCCGAAAGTGCTGGGATTACAGGTGTGAGCCAACGCAGCCAGCCACAGGATGAGTTTTTGATAGGAAGAAGGGAGAAGAAGAGCTGGTTCAGAATTCCCCCAAAATGATTTTTTTTAACCCCACGACCGATCCCCTCTCATTTCTGTCTTTCCAAAGGGAGCCTACGTCTGGGGAAAATGTGGCCAGAGAAGACTTTGATTTCAGACCCACAAGGGTATTTCCAGCAATAGAAAACACAGACACTATATTCAAATGAAGAAAAGCATTTGGAAGCGCCTCTGCCCCACCCATCCCTGATTCCCAGGCCCCTGTGCCAACCTCAGTGACATGGCCCTTGTCAGAGGACAGGGTGTTGAGAGGTTCTCCTTGAAGGGGAGAAGCATCTTTCTGGGATTTAATGAGATCACTTATTGTCTCTTTGCTCTGACAAAGATAGTAAACGTGACGGGTGAAATATAAAGAATAATTAGTCCCAGAGGTGAATCTGTCCCCTACAAGACATCTTTTCTTCCCCCTCAGCCTGCTGAAAAGTTTACTGCTTCCAGATGTGCCCGATTTCAACAGTAAGAGGAGCCAGTTCCTTTTGAGCTGCAAACTTGTCAGAGAAAAGCTGGTTTCTGAGAAAAGGCTTAAACTGAAGAGATGATTCCTAAAGAAAGCATTGACGTCGGGGAGGAAATACGACCATAGTAAAGCATTGCTGGTCTCTCCTGGGGTCTCAACCCCAAGGAGGAGGTGGAGGAAGGCCTAGGTCAGCCCCCATCATGGTAGCGACTTCTCACTAATTAGCTGTTAAGGAATCCACCAGCCTCTGAAGGAGACATCTGTGAGGAACGCTTTCCTCAGATCCTGCCAGTGCTCCTGCAAAGCCAGCAAGCCCCAGCCCAGCCGGGGACTTCCTGCTTTCCCAGAGCTCAGGACAGGCCTCAGCCACTGTCTGGAGAGGCTGCTGGAGCCCACACATCAGTCTTTGATAAACACTAGCCACTCCCTCTTAGAAACATAAGCTGTTTAGTCTCTGCCAGTTGCCTGGTAGCTAGGAGCGAATCCTAAGAGCTATGTGCCCCCAGGGACTGACTGTATGACCCAGCCTTGTGACTTCAGATGGAAGAAAAGCTAATATCATGCAGGAGAGCACCTTTTTCTCTCATGTCCAATCTCTGAGGCTCTCTGCGTTGAAAAGTACCCCGGAGGTGGGCCTGCCCTGAGGAGAAAAGTAGGTGGGAAGGCATGGCCAGATATTCCACATGTGGGGCTCAGGAGGCTAGGGCAGTGTTGCCCCAAAGCCTGGGATCTCTCCTTGGCAAGAGGGACTAGAATCCTGGTAGGATAAATGCCCGTCTGTGAAGAGGAACTACTGAGAGGGGCCTATAGAGGAAGGTGGGCTTTACACTACCTACCTGCCTGGGTATGAGCAGAGGGAGTGGAGATAGAGGGCTGATGGTGCAGAGGGCAGACCTGACGTACGGGAAGCACAGTCCTGACAGATCCTGCAGGGAGGGCTACAACAGCAACCCCATGTGATTGCAAGAGGATTGGGAGGACGCTGAGTTTATGAAAGCTATTTCTCTCCTCCTTCCCCCCACCCTCACTCATTACACTCTTCTCTCGGTTGTCTCTTTGCTGTGGCTCCTCACACGTCATAGACATGCCCCTGTGTCTTTGTTTGGGCTACCCTAAAAGCAGATCCTGAGCTGGGAGACAAGCAGGGCTGACATCCATTAGGCACAGTGCCGAGGGCCCACAGTGCTTTTGGGGGCCCATGGAAATGTTTTAATTTCTTTGTAGAAACAAAACAATATATAATATTTTTAGATTAAGAAATGCTTTAGTACTGGCTGGGCACGGTGGCTCAAGCCTGTATGGGAAGCCAAGGTGGGTAGATCACTTGAGGCCAGGAGTTCGAGAGCAGCCTGGCCAACATGGTGAAACCCCGTCTCTACAAAAAATACAAAAATTAGCCAGGCATGGTGGCAGGTGCCTGTAATCCCAGCTACTCAGGAGGCTGAGGCAGGAGAATCGCTTGAACCCAGTGGGCAGAGGTTTCAGTGAGCCAAGATCGTGCCACTGCACTCCAGCCTGGGCCACAGAGCAAGACTCCATTTCAAAAAAAAAAATGCTTTACTACATAATATTATTATGTTCATCTTTATACAAATGCAGCCATAAAATATTTTTGTATTTTTTAATTTTTGTTTTTGATGAAGGGCTCATGGCCGCGAAGGCCAAAATGCCTAAAACCCACAAAAGTTACAATGTAGCCCTAGGTACAAGAACTGTGTTAAGTGCTTTATATAGTACACGTTATATAAGTCCTCATAATGGTCCTGTTGTTCCCCTCATGTAACAGGCAAAGAAACTGAGGCTTAGAGAGGTTGAGTCACTTACTCAAGGCCCCATCTAATGGGTTGGGGAGTTGGAATTCCAGCTACCTCTTGCCTGACTCCATAGTTCTTGTTCTTCCCCATGGTCTGCAGAAACCTGAAGGACTTGGCGGCAGGAAAAATTTGGTGGGGAACATGTGTCTTCTCTCTTGCCTGCTCTGATTTCTCAGGAGCAGGACCCAGGAGGGCATCCGAGCCTCTGGCAGCTGAACCTCTGCAAACAGCAGTCACAGTGCATTTCTGCAGGCTCTTGGAGCTGCTCCCTCTGCCTCGGCCAGATGCGAATTTGTGGCTTTTCCTTCTTGGCTCCTTTCCCCAGGTTTTCATTCCTTTTATTCTGGGATGGAGCTGAAATTTTTCCAACAGGGCCCATGGTGGACACCCAGAAGTCAGTAGGGACTCCAAAAGGAAGTTAAGGCCGGGGAAGGGGGCCAGGAAGAGGGAGACCAGCCTAAAGTACACAACACTCAATTCTTCATTACTCACATGTGGCCTGACCGCTGGTGGACTGGCTCCAGGAAAATCTGAACCCTGGGCTGAGCCTCCCCGCCGGCTGGCCAGGACAGACCTGGATGCCCTCCACCCTCCAGCCAAACTTATTTTTTTCATATCATAGCTGCAGAATATTCGGACCCTCTAGTCCCAGCCGCCCAGTGAACTTGAGCTGTGTGACCTTGAGCAAAAGGCAAAATGTTTCTGATTTTCAGTCCCCTCATCTGGAAAAGGAGGAGGCTGTGGGACATGATGATCTTTGAAAGTCTAATAATGAAACAAACAGAAAACCTGTGCTTCTAAGTTGGTGAGTCTGGAAAGGTACGTCTGTTGCTTAGGAAAAAAAGTCCCAAATCCCAAAGAGCCCCTTTTGGCAAGTGTTGTACTTAAGACAATCCGGGCGCTGCCCCTCCTGAGGCGGGGGGGACTCGAGGACCGGCTTTAGCAGAAGTTCCTCCCGCAGAACAACTCGGACGACGACGCCTCGGAGGATCCGGGGAGCTTTGGAGGAGGCGATGGCGGAGCAGGGCGGGTGGCAGCGCAGGCGTGGGAGGGACAGGTGGCCCGTTCGCGTCAAGTCAGGGCGCCCCCTCCTGGGACACCTGTGCCCCGCCTAGTCCCAGGGCCCAGTCCCGGGGCAGACACTGGCCGAGCCCGGAGCCTCTTCGCGTCCCCTCCCACCCAGACCAGGCCGGCGTTTCCCCCGGGCCCCCGCGCGGCTCCGGCCCGCGGAAGTCGCGCGTTCTTTCTTTCCCCCTCGTTAGTCGAGCTGAAACCTGATCGTGGAAAGTCTGGGGCGGGTGTCAGACCCGGCCAGCTCTGGCTCCCAGCGCCTGGGGCGATTCCTGCTGGAGGAACCCGGGCGGGGCCCGCCAAGGGGGCAGGAGGTCGGACACCTCGGGAACAGGCCTCTTTGTCTCTGTGCGGGTGAGGGGCTGGCAAAGCGGGAGAGGGAGTTAATTGCAGGGGCGGGGAGTGGTGGGGGGGCTGGGTAAGCCGAATGACACCTGACAGCTCTGCGAGAGCCCCCCAACCCCCGCCGCTGGGGGGTGGTCCTCCTAATCCCCTTCGCAAGAGGAAGCTAATTGCTGCAGCCAGAGAAGGCAGGATAAAAGCGAGCGGGCACCCACACCCACCAGGCCCGGAGTCTTGCTATTTGCTGCTAAATTAATATATTACCTAATGCAGAAACCACGTTAAGAACTCCAGCTTTCGGCTCCAACAGGAGCTTCTGATGGGTTAAAGGCAACATCTTGCTTTAATTCCCCCCTTTTTCCCATCCTCCCCCCACTCCCCACCACCACCAACTACAAATGTCAGAAATAAATTATTGAAACCAGATGTAAGGTTTTTGGGTGCACATTTTCAGGCAGTTGTGCGCTAACAGATGCCTTGTATTAATAATGTACAGTTGTGACAGGAAATATGGTTTAGAGTCCTGGAAAAACATGAAAGCTAATTCCATTACCCCTTTTCATGGTACCCAGTTCTTCTCAAATGTTCAACTGGTTTGGATTACAGTGAAATTCTAGAGGAAAAACGATTTGGTCTGAGATGGTAACTTGGTTCTGCTTTCCAGCTTCTCCCGTGGAACAGCACCCACCTTCCTAGGCACCTGCAGACCTGTGTTCTATATACGTGCAAATAGCCAGAGATGAGGACATCTGGACCTGGTGCCTCCCCAGGGAAGTGGCTTCCAAATATTCCCCCCTTTCCTGGTCATGAGGACCTGGTAGACAGTAAAAGCAGGGCCAATGATCCCAGCTTCATATTCTTGTCTGGGACAGTCCATTTTAACCTGGCCTACCCACTCACACTTCACTTGGAGCAAAAGTAAAAACAATAAAACACTTTTATGCTCGAGGAACCAGATAAATCCTAGTAATTGATCTCAGGAGAGGGATTATTAAGGGGCTAAGTGCAATGCTTTCCAGAACCGGGGGTGTAATAAGCATGAAGCCAAACAAATGCGCAATTTGTTATCTGTATTTCATCACTTAATGCATTGCAAGCAACGGGTTTGAAAATGGCTTTTCTCCAGGAGGGGAGAAGGCACTAAAATAGCTGTAACACATCCATTGACAGTTCTGTTGCTGAAAAATGTCATCATTCTCCATGGCTCACACTGTCAGCCGTGCTCAGAAGGGTCAGAATATTCCCACTCTGCCATTTTTGGGGACAGATTCCCCTCCACTTTAGCCAATGTACAATGCTAAAAGAGACAACTCTCAAGGTCTTTCCCGCTGTAACCCTACACTTACGAAGAAATAACAAAGTAACCAGCAAGGATATCGAACTGCCCTGGACCCATAGATAAGAAAGGCTTTCCCTGTCCTAGACAAGAGTGAAGAAGGAAAGATATCAAAGATATCTACCGGTTCAGTTGGGTGAGACCTAAGAATTACAGCATCCAAAATAATAGCTAATCTTTATCAAGATCCTACTATCCTATCTGCTCTTACACCTGTGGCATCTAATCTTAACAATACCTGAGAAGGCAGGTGCCGTGCAATTATATCCTTGGTTATAGATGAGGAAACTGGGTTTTAGGGATGCTGGGTAATCTGCTGAAGGTTGCAGAGTTACTGGCAGAGCCAGCACTCACAATTTAATCTATTTAATTTTAAAGACTTTTAACAACCTCAACTATCATTTATTCTAATAGGTAAGGAAAGTATGCTATGAATTATGGGTAAATCCACACTGTGTCATTCTCTTAACGAAACTTTTTTTTTTTTTCAGGCTTGGTGTACAGTTGATGTCTAGAATATATTAACAGAAGGCTGCCCTGTAGAAGTTTTGAGTTAATGGTTTCCATCAACGCAGGAGTGGAAGAAGCTACTGGGGATCAGGAATCAGAAGTCCTGGCTTTAAGCCCTAGCTTTAGCCCTCACTGGTAATAAAATCAAAGCAATTGGTCTCTTTGACTTCAGTTTCTCCACTTTTAAGGTTGACCTGATAATACTTGCCCTGCTTGTGAAGAGCATGTGAAATAATAGCTATTCAAATTTTTACAAAGCACCAAGCAAATAGCTGTGTGACCTTGGGCATGTTCTTTTACTTTTCTGATCCTTATTTATCTTAACTGTGGGATTGAATGAAAGAGCATCCAACTTCACCTCCTGCTCTGAAACTGTACATTTCAAAGATGGGTGTTATGGCATAGTTTGTTGGAGCAAAAGCCAGGAAACAGAGGGTTGCCTCCCAAGAGGGAAAAGCTGAACACATTATTACACGTCCACACCATGGCATAGTATGTAACCAATGAACATGGAAAATCAGAGTATGCCAGATAGCTTGGAGGAGTTTCTATGAGGTGGTGTTGAGATGAGGAGAGAAAAGATGTATAAATGATCCCACATTGTAAAACAATAAACAGCATTCCCCTGGGTATGTGTATAGGTATATATTCTATACAGAATTACATAAAAAAAAAGTATACTCCATATTCAAGGTGTTATGGTGGGAAGAAAATGGGGCGAGGGCTGACCATAGAAAAGGAAATGGGGAGAAAAGACTGCATTCAAAAATAATAAGACAACATGTATTTGCTCAATGCATGTGTTTGTGTAAAGATCTATATTGTGAATACGTGCTACTTTTTTTTTTAACAGGAATTACAGGAATTACACCCCCCAGAAGTTCTATTTTTTTAAATATGAACCAGGCATTTTTATTAAAAATAACTAAATTTTTTTCGTTTAGACCTGTATCTTGGTGCAAGAGAGTACTCACATACATAAGAATCGACCTGCTGCTATGCCCCTCACCTGTTGACTGTATGTCAATGAGAAGTTCCCCCGTGTAGGCTGGGCCCAGTGGCTCATGCCTGTAATCCCAGCACTTTGGGATGCCAAAGTGGGAGAATCGCTTGAGGCCAGGAGTTTGAGACCAGCCTAGGCAACATAGTGAGACATTGTCTCTATAAAAAATGAACAAAATTAGCTGGGCATGGTGGTGCATGCCTGTAATCCCAGTACTCAGGAGGCTGAGGCAGGAGGATCACTTGAGCCCTGAAGGTGGAGGCTGCAGTGAGCCATGATCGCACCACTGCACTCTAGCCTGGGTGACAGAGTGAGACCCTGTCTCCAAAAAAAAAAAAGTTTTCCTACGTAGAAAGTTCCCTAACATAGCATGTTCCTTAACATAGTTTGAATATTCCCTGTCCTTTAGTCATGTTTACACTGAATATTTGCATAGGAAACCCTTTGTCATATAAAGAAAATCTTCCCAGCACCTACCTAAGTGCTTCGTTTATATTCAACAAATACCTGTTTGCAGACACGGACCTAGAGGCTGGTGATGCAGCAGTGGGTACAACAAAGCCTCTGTCCTGATGGAGTTGACCTTTTAGTGGGGGAAGTTGATGATAAAAATACATCAGTAAAATATAAAAACAGTGGATGACACAGAGTGAGTAAAATAAAGCAAAGAAAGGGGAGTGAGAGAGGAGGCACCAGGCACCATGTTAAAGGGGATCTTCCTCAGGGAAGACCTCTGAGGAGGTGATAATTGGAAAGAGACCTGCATGAGGTGGAATAGTGAGTGAAGCGCAGCCCAGTTAGTAGGAACAACCAGGGAAGGGTCCAGGAGGAGGGAATGAGCTTGGCATGTTTCAGAAGCAGACATGATCTCACTGGTCTCATCCCCACCCCAGCCACCAACCTGGTCCAAGCCACCACTGTCTCTTACCTGCTCCCCTGCTATAGCTCTAACCAGTCTCTCCATTTTTATTTCTTCATTTCTGTGGTCGATTTTCTACACAAGTAGCCTGAGTCACCTTTAAAAATGCAAATGTGATCATGTGTTAGAACACTTGCAGTTTGTACCTCCAAGAGCTTCCCATCACTCAGAACAACATCAACTGTCTTCACCTTCCTTGACAAGATCCTCATGATCTGTGCCAAACACCTCTCTGACCTCAGCTCCTGCCTGTTCTGGCTCACTGCTCACTGGCCTCCTTGCTCTTCCTTGAACAGGCCATGTACACACCTGCCTAGGCTGCTGCCTGGGCTGTCCCTATGCCGAGAGTTCCGGTAAATGGACCGTGATTCCTCCAATTGCTCTAGCAGTAGATTTAGGAGTCATTCTTGATTCCTTTTTTTTTTTTCTCACACTCCATAGCCTATCCATTGGCAGGTCTTGACTGGTTTCCATTCTAAGGAGATCCCAAATCAGACTACTTCTTATCACTTCCACCAAAGACCCTTAATCCAAGCCACCACCATCTCTCACCTGCCCACCTGGATTACTGTAGCCACCTTGCTTGCCATCTTGCACCCCATAGCCTATCCTTCACACATTAGCCAGAAGGATCTTTTTTTATTTTTTAGAGACAGAGTCTTGCTGTGTCACTCAGGCTGGATGGAGGGCAGTGGTGCAATCATAGCTCACTATAACCTTGAACCACTGTGCTCAAGCTATCCTCCTACCTCAGCCTCTTGAGTAGCTAGGACTACAGGCACAGGCCAACATGCCTAGTTAATTTTTTTAAAAAAAATTTGTAGAGATGGGGGTCTTACTATGTTGCTCAGGCTGGTCTCAAATGCCTGGCCTCAAGGAATCCTCCTGCCCCAGCCTCCCAAAATGCTGGGATTACAGACATGAGCCACTGAGCTTGGCCCAGAAAATATCTTTTTTTTTTTTTTTTTTTTGAGATGAAGTCTCGCTCTTGTCTCCCAGGCTGAAGTGCAAGGGCACAATCTTGGCTTACTGCAACCTTTGCCTCCCGGGTTCAAGCGATTCTCCTGCCTCAGCCTCCCAAGTAGCTGGGATTACAGGCACCTGCCACCATGCCCAGCTAATTTTTGTATTTTTAGTAGAAACGGGGTTTCACCATGTTGGCCAGGCCGCTGTAGATATCCTGATCTCATGATCCACCTGCCTTGGCTTCCCAAAGTGCTGAGATTACAGGTGTGAGCCACCGTGCCCAGCCCAGAAAATCTTTTAAAAAGATATATTCAACATTCAAATAATATTGATCGAGCCCAGCTGTGTGCAAGAGTCTATTTTTAGTTGCTGGAGATACAGCAGTGAACAAAATAGAAAAGGTCCTTGCCCTCATGGAAACAAATGTTTGGGGAAGAAAATGAAGAGTTATGTTTTTGTTTTAAAGAGGTTAAAATAAACACTCAATATATTAGGTTGGTGCAAAAGTAATTGCAGTTTTTCCCATTACTTTTTTTTTTTTTTTTTTTTGAGACAGAGTCTCATTGTCACCCAGGCTGGAGTGCAGTGGTGTGACCTTGGTTCACTGCAACCTCTGCCTCCCGGGTTCAAGCAATTCTTCCTGCCTCAGCCTCCCGAGTAGCTGGGATTACAGGCATCAACAACCACACCACCACCGGCTAATTTTTGTATTTTTTAGTAGAGATGGGGTTTCACCATGTTGGCCAGGCTGGTCTTGAACTCCTGACCTCAGGTGATCCGCCCGCCTCAGCCTCCCAAAGTCATGGGATTACAGGCATGATCCGCTGCACCCGGCCTGCCATTACTTTTAATGACAAAAACCGCAATTACATTTGTACCAACCTAATAATTGGTCAATAAGGGTGCCACTGGCAAATTCGTCATTTAGGATGCTGTATTTTTCCCAGAGTTGGAATGCTCTGTGCCGAGCTGGTGATAGATTCCTTGATATCACATTCCAAACCACAGTATGTGTGTTGTACCTCAGTTCTAGTTTAGAATAACATTTCTAGATATTTTTTAAATGAAAAATGTAATTTTTTGCTAATGCATATGAAACAAACACTCCACTTGGGGAAGATGCTCAGGAAACAAGCATTTCAATGAAACACATAGGCAGTGATATTTATCTACTGACTTATGTCAGCTCCAAAAAGAATTTAAGGGGAACAGCTCTACAGAATTGGGTAATTTTAACTGTCATCAATCACAATTTAATCTAAATTTGGTCTTATTCCCAAACTTTGATTAAGATGCTTCTTCCAAGCTGCCTTTAATTTTCCTTTGGATGTTTGCTCTAAACACCTGGAGAGCATGGTTATGGTTTATTCTTTATTTGGCCACAGTGCCTAGTATCGTTCCTGGTAGAAAATAAAGGTTTGTTGAATGACTAAATGAATGAAATTTCCTAGGACAAGCTTTAAATCTAAGCCCTCTGACCAACTTGTAATACAAATAGGCATAAAAAATACCTTTCTAGCTTTTCATGGGCATTTCAGCAAGAACAGTACTATGACTGTCCCCTTTCCATAGCCAAATGCTAGAATTTTTCTCCATGGCTCTCAGCTGTTTGTACTTCCAAACCCCCAACCCCCCCCCCCCTCCACGTTTTAAAAGCGTTCAGGTATAGGAAACAGAACCCATTATACCAATTTTAAACAAAAAGATTATGTAGTATCAGGAATTAGACGCCTGAAAGATTATTGCCAGGGCTGAAGCAGCCGACCCCAGACTGTGCCTCCTAGAACAACTTTCAGAACAGTACACCAGAACTGGCCCAATAGGGGAGCTGCTACCAAGGTGGGTAAATCTGAAGCTGATGAATTAAAAATCCATGTGGCCATAGCCATAGCTGGATTCAGGCATCTGCTACCACCACCAACACTGCCACCACATCATTGCCCCTGACAACTACAAGGCTGGTGACAGAGCACTGGAAGTCTGCTATTGAGAAACATAACGTCTGTACAGCCATGCTTGCTGCTGGTTCCAGGGATGGCTCTGAGCAAGACCCTGAGGTAGGACAAGCTTAGCTGCTTGGTTCTCCAGTAGATACTTAATAGTCAAAGCTGCAGGAAGAGAGCCTTTGTCTCACTTGAGTCAGGCACATCTAATTGGGAGAATCTAATTCTCTTCTAGAAACCTAGCTGCAAGGTAGTCTGAGAAATGAAGAGTTTAGTTTACCAGCCTCTGTAAATCAAACAGGAAATTCTACCTGGGAAGGCGGACTAGATGCTGAGTGCCAATTGACCGTAACCACTGCAATCCTTTCATCCATTTGGCAGGATAATGACAATACAGCTGACATGTAGCATGGACTACATACTGGTGTGAAGAAGGAAGAACTCTCTGTGACATCCCTAGTACAACAGCATTAAATTTTCCCATGAACAATTAACTACCCACTTTAACAGGAGGAGGAATTACAACTCAATTAACATGTGATCACACATCATCCTTGCTGAAGCTGCCAGAGGGAGCAAGGGACAGAGAGACATTTTCAGTAGAAAAAAGGAAGGATGAGAGAGGAAGAATTTTCCATTTTAAATAAGCATCTTTTACTCCAGATTGCCTTCTCTGTGACCATACTGAATATCTGTCAGTTGGTCAATGTGCCTAATGGGGAAGAGAGACACAGTTGTCCCCAGGCTGAGAGGAGAGACCCAGTTCCAACTTGTAGGGCTCTCTGGGGTCTGGCTTGGTAAGTTGCTTTCTGCTATTATGTGGTTCTCAGTAAGCAGAAAGCTTGACAAAGGAAAAAATAAAAAATAAGAGAGAGCCCAAGGATAGGAATTGGAGGATTCTGAGGGAATCACTGGGGAGAACACCATTTAAAACAACCATGGAATTCTGTGTGTTTGGGAGCGAGGGAGAGAGAGCAGAACCCCAACAAAAGTTGTGCCGTTTCTTGAGAGACAGAGATGCAGGAGTCCCCCAAAACTGCTCAGCCTGTCTCCACCACCCAGCAGCTGCCACTGGTCATAGATAGCCTGGCCGTCATACTCTTCAGTGACCTCAAGGACTTTTCTTTCTTCCTCTCTTCCCTCCCTCCCACCCTCCCATCCGTCCTTCCTTCCTTCCTTCCTTTATTCCTTCCTTCCTTCCTTCCTTCCTTCCTTCCTTCCTTCCTTCTCTCTTTCTTCTTTTGTTGTTTCTGAGGCAGGGTCACTCAGGCTGGAGTGCAGCGGTGTGATTACAGCTCACCATAGCTCCAAACTGCTGGGCTCAGGGGATCCTCCCAACCTCAGCCTCCTGAGTAGCTGGGACTACAGGCGTGCCCACCATGCCAGGCTAGTTTTTAACTTTATTGTGGAAACATGGTGTTATTATGTTGCACAGGCTGCTCTCAAACTCCTGGCCTCTAGCAATTCACCTGCCTCGTTCACGGACTTTTCTGATCTTGCTTGTCTCTGTTTAGGGTTTCTGGAGTCAGAACTGCTGTCAGGATGAGTGGGAAGGGCATCCCCTCACCTGTCTGTGCCTCAGATTCCTCATCTTCAAAATGGAGGGAATAAAACTACTTACCTTGAAGGGCTGGTGAAAGGTTAAAATGAGATGTAATTAGTTTAGACATTACATTCATACATAATTAGTTTAGAATAGAAACTGGCATGTGTTAAGTGTTAAAATAAATATTGGCAGCTTTTGTTGCTTTATCTCTATGAATCCTTTGCAGAAGTTAGAGATCACGGATTATCTAGAGGTAGGCCATGGTGGAGAATTGAGAATGAGATGTGGAGTGGTGATTGGATGAGGAAGTCATATAAGCTGCAGGAAGGGCGAGTGACTGAGGAAGCTTTTGTGGAGTCCTAATTAGAGAAACAGAGTTAGGCTGGCAGGACCAAGGGAAAGCAAAGAGAGAAAGCAGATAAACGGCCGGGTGTGGTGGCTCACGCCTGTAATTCCAGCACTTCAGGAAGCCGAGGCAGATGGATCACCTGAGGTCAGGAGTTCGAGACCAGCCTGACCAATATGGTGAACCCTGTCTCTACTAAAAATACAAAAATCAGCCAGGCGTCATGGTGTGTGCCTGTAATCCCAGCTACTCAGGAGGCTGAGACAGGAGAATTGCTTGAACCTGGGAGGCAGAGGTTGCAGTGAGCTGAGATCATGCCACTACACTCCAGCCTGGGCAACAGAGCAAGGCTCCATCTCAAAGAAAAAAAAAAGAAAAAAAAAGAAAGCAGATAAACTACAAGTCTTCCTTTCTTCATGGTCCAGGACACATAGCCCTCCTGCACAAATAACTCACAATCTTCCTGCATCCAACTATCACCAGACACCTGCAAGCTATTATAGCTCACTGCAACCTTGGTGTTATCAGAACTGCACAAAGCCCTCTTCAACAGACAGCATAAACACTCTTCTATAGAATCTCCAGCAAGCCTGTTTCCTGGCGGTTAGCTTCTCTTCTGCTGGCTGCCCATTGCCTCCTTGCAACGTATTTTCCTACTTTCTCTAATAAATCTGCCTTTTGTTTTTGTCTACAACTGTCTTGGTAAATTATTTTACCCCTGCACCGCTGGCCCAGGTACTCCCTGCTCACCTGCAACAGCTTTGGCAATGTATCATGATAGCAAAATGTCAGAGGTTGGCTGGCAAAATGAAATGGAGCCCAGAAGAGAATAAGAGTAACTAGGAGTAAGAAGAAGTGTGACTGAGATCAACATGGGTTAGGGTACAGATTTAGCTACTATACCAAAGGCCAAAATAATGGTGTCTCTAACAAAGCATATTTCTCTTACATAAAAGAATGAGTAGATGGTTCAGGGTTGGTATGGTGGTTCTGTAGTGTTGGAGATCTAGGCTTCTTCTATCTTGTAGGACAGACAGGTTTCTTCTACCTTGTTGCCATGCCATTCTCAGCATGTGGCTTCACCTCCCAGTCTACTCCAGCTCCTGCCATAACTCCTACCTTCCAGCTCATGGGAAGGGAAGAAAGGTGAGAGTGGACACATTCTTTTGCTAAAGGAATGACCTAGAAAGTACACGTACCACTTCTGCTCACATCTCACTGGCCAAGACTTAGTTATGTGTCCATCTTGTGCTGCAAAAGAGGCTGGAAATGTGGTCTTTAGCTGGGTAGTCATGTGCCCAGGGAAAGGAATGGAGGGAAAGGGAAGGAAAAATGACTATGGGGAGTGGGCAATGAATTGTGTCTGCTATAGGACTAATACATATTTTGGGATCGTAATGGAATTTTTATTCCTAATGATTTCTGAAAACGTCTGATAAAGTTGCACCATCTTGTTTTTGACCAACATTCAAAAAAACCAAACTACATAAAGAATTGGAAGCTGGAACTTTCCTACAATGACCCCACTACTACCTGAGGACCAAAGCCTTATCAATGCTGATGACCAAAAAAGACTTGAATTGTCCAATTCCTCCCTAGGAAAATATTTTGGAGACAAATTAAGATGAATTAAGTCAAATGACTATTAAAAAAAACTTTCTTCCTCTTGATTAATGATTCCATCCATTGCCATTGAGACTTATTAAGCAGCTTTCCTTTTCTGAGGGAAGATATTAAAGGACAGAACGTGCCAAGCTTTTAAAGTTTGACAAAAATACTCACTTAAATTATTATTAGATTCTGAGATATGCTCTGAAGGTGATGAAGGAGCTTTTTGGAATAGAGCCAAATGCTAATGCTGATTTCCACAGCTGAGCAAGGTCTGTGCAAGCACCCCAGGATCACTCCCTGCTCTCTCTCCTGCTGTTTAATGCCTAAAACATAGGTTTACATATGTTGAAATGTTTATATTTGTCCCAAGGCTTTTCTGGAGGGAACTGGGTATAAATAAACCACACAATGGATCCCTTCCTCACTAGAAACTAAAAATTAGGTCATCTCCTTTGTCTTTCCCCACTCCTCTCCTGATAGGAATGTAGATTTTTAAACAAACATATCAAAAGTATGCTGTGAAGAGGGATCAGTGTTAGTAACAGCGGGCTTTTTTGTCTTATAATTGCCCTGCTATAAAAACTGAGAAAGGAGATGGAGAAAAGAAAAGGGAAAAGAGAGGAGAAAGGAGAGAGAGGTACTAGGTTCTTATTCTTTGAGTCTTTTTGGTGCCATAGATGACTTTGACAAACTAGTAAAGCCTATGGACCCCTTCTCTGAATAGTGTCTTTAAATACATAAGATAAAATGTATAGGATTACCTAGGAAACCAATTATATTGAGACAGAGCTCCACTTATGGATTCTTTAGGAGGTCTGTGGACTGCAGATGAGCTCTCTGGGTTGTCTCCCCTGCCTACATCATCAACTCCCTTAAATCAAGCATAAGTTCCAACAGTTTAGGCTGCCTTAGTTTGACAAATACAATTCCTCACATGAAGCTGCTACATTGCATGCCCAAACTCTTTCTCAGACACATGGTCATTTGTGTTCCATGGACATGGAACTAGCATTTGAAGGCTGTTACTATAAAGCTCAAATGCACAAGCCTCTTTACTGCAGGTTAAATTGGCCCCACAGTGATAGATCTCCACAGGCTCTGCCTGGATGCCACTTGCTTTCCTGTAGCACTGAGCAGAGACATGATACTGGGATTCAGTCCTTAAAAGTAAAAACCTTATAATAAATATGTAAGTTCCTCTTGATGAAATATGTAGTAAGCAAAGGCTGCTTTTGTTACAGTCTCAGCAATGTACCACAATGTAGCAGTCTCTCATTGTGAGGTATCACCCCAAGTTCTTTGTCTCACAACCAAGAGAATTAAGGAGCATGAACACAAAGGATGAAGTTGGAGTGAAAGTTTAATAAGCGAAAGAAGAAAGCTCTCCACAGCAGAGAGGGGTCCCGAATGGGTTGCCATTTTTATAGTTGAATATAAAGCCTTTTATAAGAAACTGATAAGGGCTAGGCCTCTCATGTACATAAGGCACAAATTTCTGGTAGCTCCACCTCATTCTCCTAATGCGCATGGGAGCCCTTAGCTTGAGTTACTCCATATTGTTTTGTTCCCCTTACGCATATGTGTTAAAGGACGGAATTTTCCATTGCAAGCACATCTGGGCAAGTCACCTGTGCAGTTGTTCTTATCTGTGCAGCTGTGGGAATGTCTTAGGCACGACCCCCTGTGCAAATTTCCTCATCTTTGCCTGCAGCTTGATTTTTCAGGCTGTTCTTTTGTTTGAAAGAATTTAACTGAGGACCCACCCTAACTGCCTGCCTGACTGGTTTCTTCCTTTCTCCTCTCACATTCTCATAGTAGCAGAAGCTCCTAGCCTTTAAAAGAGGGCTTTGTCTTGGGCAAAGGAGAGACAGGATGATGGGGAAATGCGGGGAGGGAGTCACCAACTCACACCTTAATTAATTCTGCCTCCACCGTGGATCTGGGCTGAGGGACCTAAAGGCAGATATCATCTCCGTGTTGGTCCTTGGGTGCTTCCTCACACGGACAAGTTCAGAGTAGGAAAGATGATACCCAGGCAGGTCCCCAAGACTCCTGTCATCCCCCCTTCTCACCAAGCCTCATTTATATCTAACATGTGTCTTCAAGAATCCCCAGGTGGGGAATGACTCTTCCCCAGGTTGCCTTACTGAGACCTGAGAAATAAAAAATAAAATTCCAAGGCCCTAGCTGACTGAAGTGATCCCCTCTTGGCCAAGGGGACCCCAGAGAAACCTTGGAAGCTAAGTCCTGGCCATGATGCTATAGAAGGTTGGACATACCTCATTACATCTGCTCCCTTGATAACTGCCATTAGGCTTTCTTCCCTAAGGGCTACACAGAAACCAGCTCTTTCGAAAGACTCCACGCTGATAATGTCAATGACTAACTTATCTTCCCAGGTATAGAACAAAGACGAGATGAGATTAGTCGCTTCTTCACCCTTCTCTGAGACATCTGCTTCCTCTATTCCTCTTCTCTTCAAATGTTCACCTTTTATTATGTAAAATGTAGATTTCCTGGGCACTAACTAAAGTCTGACAAATATGTAGTAATTCCTCTCACTGCTCCCATTCCTTTTTTAAGGAAAATGTATAAATATCAAACCTCCTGAGAACCTCTTTGGAAAAAAAGAGCTGCAGATGTGTCTGTGACTCTCATTTTTCCTGGGCGCACCCTCAAGCTGGCTTAATAAACCTTGATGATTTGAAACTTATGCTTCAGTCACTAATTTTGGTTGTCAGGCTCCCACATCTAAAGGGAGCCATTTTACTGGTTCAAAGACTCAACCAACGCCAGTCTTATGCACTCAGCCCTTCCCCTACCCATTATGATGAACTCTGGTCAGCAAAGAGCCATCTATAAATTCCATCCAAAGACACAAGGCCCCCTTGGGACTGCCAATCACAACAGGGTTACTTCTATTGTTTCCACTATGGGTGGAACCAAAATAATTCCTTAGCTAGTGAAACCCTGTGTCAGGTTCTATAAGTACCATCAGAGTGTACTTACCAACGTTTGGTTATGGCCCACAAGGTGTTTGGGCCATTTCCCTAAGGAAAATCCTTTGTTTCCTTACCTCCCTCTAGGAAAAGTACTCAGTGGGCCCTCGTCCCACAGAGAGAGGGGAGAGCACTTATCCTGTGTTACAGGAAAGGGGTCCTGATCTAGACCCCAAGAGAGCATTCTTGGATCTTGTGCAAGAAACAATTCGAGGCAAATCCATAGAGTAAAGTGAAAGCAAGTTGATTAGGAAAATAAAGGAATAAAGAATGGCTACTCCATAGGCAGAGAAGCCCTGAGAGCTGCTGGTTGGCTATTTTTATGGTTATTTCTTGATTATATGCTAAACAAGGGGTGGATTATTCATGAGTTTTCAGGGAAAGGGGTAGGCAAATCCCAAAACTGAAGGTTTCTACCCTTTTTAGACCATATAGGGTAACTTCCTGATGTTGCCATGGCATTTGTAAACTGTTATGGTGCTGGGAGGAGTGTCTTTTAGCATTAAAATGCATTATAATTAGCGTATAATGAGCAATGAGGACAACCAGAGGTCACTTTTATTGCCCTCTTGGTTTTGGTGGGTTTTGCCTGGATTCTTTACCGCAGCCTGTTTTAGCAGCAAAGTCTTTGTGACCTGTATTTTTTTTTTTTGACCCGCCCACCTCAGTCTCTCAAAGTGCTGGGATTACAGGTGTGAGCCACCACACCCAGCCAAGATTCTTTCTCAAGATTGTTATAGCTATTCTGGGTCCTCTGCAAATCCTTATGAATTTGAGAATTCGCTTGTCAATTTCTACAAAGAAACAATTGTTCATATACAATAGATTATCATTTTTCTTACCAGATATTTGTAGATTTTCTTTAATAGATATTTCTTCATTTGCTGTATGCCCTTAGGCATGTTTCCAGAGCCTTTAAGTGTTTGGGGTTTTAAAAAAGTGATTTTCATCATTTTCACTGGAGCTTCCCAAATCATCATACCGGAAATCAATCTCTTCAACAAAGGATCACACACACACACACACACACACACACACACACACACACACACACACACGAACTCCAACTCAATAGCAAAGGGAAAAACAACTCCATGTTGATGATGACAAGGAACAACCAGATATCTCATACATTGCTGATAAAAGTGAAAATAGAATAAGCACTTTGGAAAACTGTTTGGCAGTTTCTTACAAAGTTAAATGTTTCACCTATTCTATCACTCAGCAATTAGACTCCTAGGTATTTAGGCAAGAGAAATTAGAGTTACAGCCACAAAAAGACTGGTATAATAATGCTCACAGTGACTTTATTCCTAATAGTCTGGAAATAACATAAATGTTCATCAATTTAAAAATGCATGGCTGGGCGCAAGGTGGTGCACACCAGTAATCCCAGCACTTTGGGTGGCTGAGGCGGGTGGATCACCTGAAGTCAGGAGTTCAAGACCAGCCTGGCCTACATGGTGAAACCCCATCTCTACTAATGATACAAAAATTATCCGGATGTGGTGGTGCATACCTGTAATCCCAGGTACTTGGGAGGCTGAGGCAGGAGAATTGCTTGAACCTGGGAGGCAAAGGTTGCAGTGAGCTGAGATCAGACCATTGCACTCCAGCCTGGATGACAAGAGTGAAACTCCATCTCCAAAAAATAAAAAAAATTAAAAAAATTAATGCATAAGAAGAAAACATAATGTATGCATCCAATAGAATACTACTCAACAATAAACAGGAATGAACTACTAATACATGCAGCAACATGGGCTTTGAAGTCAGGCAATCAAATTGCTCTGTGACCATGGGCCAATTACTTGGCCTCTCAGTGTCTTTTCTGTTATCTTTTCTGTAAATGGGATTGTTGTGGGTTGACTCGTATCCCCCAGAAATTTATGTGTTGCGGCCCTGTCCCCCAGTACCTTAGAATGGCACCATTTGGAGACAGGGTCTTTAAAAGGGTCATTTAAAATGAGATCATATGGGTAGGCCCTAATGCAACATGACAGGTGTCCTTATAACAAAAGGAGATAAGGACACAGACACTGTCTCAGTCCGTTTGGGCTGCTATAACAAAATACCACAAGGCTAGGTGGCTTATCGAGATCAAATATTTATTTCTCACAGTTCTGGAGGGTAGGAAGTCCATGATCAAGTCTCCAGAAAATTCAGTGTCTGGTGAGGTCCCTTTCACCATAGATGGCACCTTCTTGCTGTGTCTTCATATGGTGGAAGGGATGGGGTTTCTTGTATAAGGGAACTAATTCCATTCACGAGGGCTCTGCCCTCGTGACTTAATCACCTCCTAAAAGCCCTACATCCTAATACCATCACACTGGGGATTAGGATAGGAACATGAATTTTGGGGAAACACAAACATTCAGACCATAGCAGACACAGAGAGAGAAAACCATATGAAGATACAAAGAGGAAAAGGCCATCCACAAGCCAAGAAGAGAAACCTCAGGAGAATCCAACCCTGCTGACACCATTAATTAATTAATTAATTAATTTATATTTATTGAGACAGGGTCTCACTCCATCAGATCACTGCAACGTCTGCCTCCCAGGATCAAGTGATCCTCCTGCCTCAGCCTCCCAAGTAGCTGGAACTACAGGCGTGTGCAACCACACTGGCCTAATTTTTGTATTTTTAGGAGAGATGGGTTTTCACCATGTTTGCCAGGCTGGTCTTGAACTCCTGGGCTTAAGTGAATTCACCCACCTCAGCCTTTCAAAGTGCTGGAATTACAGGCATGAGCCACTGCACCCAGCCTTGTTTAGTTAGTTATTTTAAGATGGAGTTTCACTCTGTTGCCCAGGCTGGAATACAGTGGTGTGATCGTAGCTCACTGTGGCCTCAAACTCCTGGGCTCAAGTGATCCTCCCACCTCAGCCTCCCAAGTAGCTGGGACTACAGGTGCAGACCACCACACCCAGACAATTTTTAAAATGTTTTTGTAGAGGCAGGGTCTCACTTTGCTGCCCAGGCTCGTCTCGAATTCCTGGGCTCAAATGATTTCCCCACCTTCGCCTCCCAAAGTGCTGGAATTACAGGTATGAGCCACCACGCCTGGCTCCTACTGACAACTTGTTCTCAAGCTTCTAGCCTCCAGAATTGTGAGAAAATACATTTCTGTTGTTTAATCCACCCAGTTTGTGGTACTCTGTTATGGTAGCCCTAACAAACTAATACAGGGACCAAAATTCCTATGGACGAAACTGTGGGAAGGGTGACCTGAGAAAACATGAAAATCACTGATCATAGGGCTTAGAACATCGTGAATGCCCAGCAGGACTATTCCTTTTGGAGATGTAAACCACCAGGCAATGTGTAAAAGAGGCCTGTGGTGTGTGTAAATACATGTAAAGCTGGGGAACACTATGTGCATGTGTGTATGAGCATGTGTGTGTGTCCACATGTATATGTAGTTTTGCACGAACAAATGGAATATGTCAGTCACCTTCATATATCTCACAGTGAAGCCTGGAGCAGAAGGTGAGCTTTCTGAGGGCAGGACCCCTGCCTGGGTAATCTTATAAAGCAACAGGTCAGAGGGCCAAATCCAGCCCTCTGCCTGTTTAGTTAAGTGAAGTTTTATTGAAGTACAGCTACACAGGCTGGTCCACATATTGTATCTGGCTGCTTTGGTGCTACAATGACAGAGCTGAATAGTTATGACAGACATTGTATGGATCACAAAGCCTAAAATATTTACTTTCTGGCTCTTGAAAACACAGTTTGCTGCCATTGTTATAGAGCCCAGTGTAGTAAAGATTAAATAAATTCTTCTTTCTGTTTCCTTTTCCTCCTTCTTGTTATGGAAAGAGACCAAGAAAAAGAAAAACAAATGAAAAATGAACATGAAAGTTACTCTTTTTTTTTTTTTTTGAGACAGGATCTGGCTTGTTGTCCAGTCTGGAGTGCAGTGGTGTCATCTCAGCTCACTGCAATACCCGCCTCCCAGACTCAAGCAATCCTTTCACCTCAGCCTCCCAAGTAGTTGGGACTACAGGCATTCGCCATCATGGCTGGCTAATCTTTGTGTTTTTGGTAGAGATGGGGTTTCGCCATGTTGCCCAGGCTGGTCTCGAACTCCTGGGCTCTCTTGAACTCCTGGGCTCAAGGGATCCGCCTGCCTAAGCCTCCCAAAGTGCTAGGATTACAAGCATGAGCCTAGCATTGCAGTGAGCGGAGATCATTCGGCCGCGCTCTGCCGGAAGTTACTTTAGATTCATTTTGTCTAACTTCTTTAAGGTTATGAAGAAACTGTAGTCCAACACAGTTCTGCCTCAATCTCCTCATCTGTAAAATAGAGATATTTTGATTTTTAAATGTGCTAATAGAGTCATGCACCACATAAAGAATGATGTTTTGGTCAAGGATATATGACCCACCCATATATATGAGGGTAGTCCCATAAGATTATAATGGAGATGAAAAATTCCTATCACTTAGTGACATGGTAGCCGATGTAACATTGTAGCGCAATGCATTACTCATGTGCTGGTGTAAACAAACCTACTAGTATAAAAGCATACAACGATGTACAATACATAATAACTGATAATGATAATAAACAACTATGTTAGTGGTTTATGTATTTACGATACTATTTATCATTATTTTAGAGTATGCACCTTATACTTATTTTAAAATAGCTAACTGTAAAACAGCCTTAGGGAGGTCCTTCAGGAGATATTACAGAAGAAGGCATTGTTATCACAGGAGACAACTATTGCCCCCAAAGACCTTCCAATGGGGCCGGGCGTGGTGGCTTATGCCTATAATCCTGGCACTTTGGGAGGCCAAGGTGGGTGGATTGTTTGAGCCCAGGAATTTGAGACCAGCCTGAGCAACATGGTGAGACACCTATCTCTACAAATTACACAAAAATTAGGCCAGTGTGGTGGCACAGGCCTGTAGTCCCAGCTACTTGGGAGGTTGATGTGGGAGGATTGCCTGAGCCTGGGAGGCAGAGGTTGCAGTGAGCTGAGGTCACACCACTGCACTCCAGCCTGGGCAACAGGGCAAAACTCTGTCTCAAAAAACAAACAAACAAACAAAAAAAACAAAAACAAAAAACTTTCCAGTTGGACAAGATATGGAGGTGGTTCTTGACCCTGTGTAGACCTAGGCTAATGTGTATGTTTGTGTTTTAGTTTTTAACAAAAAAGTTATATAAAAATAGAAAAAAGCATATAGAATAATGACATAAGGAAACAAATATACAAAGAAAAATTTGTGTATAGCCGTACAATGTGTGTTTTAAGCTAAGTGTTAATACAAAGGAGTCAAAAAGGTTTTAAAATTTTTCAAAGTTTATTAGGTAAAAAAGTTACAGCAAGCTAAGGTTAATTTGTTATTGATGAAAGAAAAATATTGTTTATAAATTTATTGCAACCTAGGTGTACAGTGCTTATAAAGTCTACAGTAGTGCACAGTCTTAGGCCCTCACATTCACTCACCACTCGTTCACTGACTCACCCAGAGCAACTTCCAGTCCTGCAAGCTCCTTTCACAGTGAGTACCCTATACAAGTCTACCATCATTTATCTTTTATACTGTATTTTTACTATGCCTTTTCTATGTTTAGATAAGTTTACATACAAAAAACACTTACAATTGCCTGTGGCATTCTAGAGCTTACCATTGCCTATGTTACAATCGCCTATGGTATTCAGTACAGTAACATTCTGTACAGGTTTGTAGCCTAAGAGAGATAGGCTATACCATGCACCCTAGGTGTGTAGTAGGCTCTACCATCTAGGTTTGTGCAAGTACACTCTATGATGTTTACACAATGGTGAAATCGCCTAACAATGAAATCGCCTAATGACACATTTCTCAGAACATATCCCCTTTGTTAAACAATGCAGGACTGTATACATATAAGCAATTAGAACAGTGTCTGGCACACAGTTTTGCTATTATTAGTATCATCGTTAACTTCTCTTCCCTATGAACATCTGAAAAACCCCTATCTTTTTTTGTTTATATTAACATATACACAATTCATGTCCTTCCCTGCAGAGAACGTGAGAGAATGAAGGCAAAGGGGGAATCAAAGCTGGAAAGGCAGAAACAAGTGACCCAAGGCGCCTGCTTGGCACCAAACGACTCCTCAGGTAAGCCCTAGCCAGCCCCCATCCCCGCCCCCAGCTGGCCTGTGCTAATGGAATTCAGAAGGTAACACAATCCTCAGGCTCTGAATTCTTGGAGGATCCTGGCCAGGGGCTATGGGAGCTGGCAGGAGGCCGGGAGGCTGAGGGCTGTGATAAAGATCAAGTGCCCACAGCCCTCCCGTCCCTTCCATCCCACCCGGGGCTGCCTCCTGAAGCCTGGCCTCAGTGCAGGTTTGCAGATTTTCTCTAACTGGCTGTCTGGCTTCCTGGAGAGAAAGTGTTCAAGCCCAGAGAGCCTCAGGAATGAGAGTCTAATCAGACCCATGTGTGGAGAAAACCTCTACTCCTTTTTCTTAGTTCTTGCTGCTTTCGTCCCCACCTGGGAAAAGACAGTAGCCCAATAGGGGAGGGCCTTTCCTATGGGGGGAAAGCTGGTGGTCAGGGTCCCCCTTCCCCCGCCCCCACATTTTCCCCCATGGCCGGGGCTTAGAGACTTCTCTGTCACCCTGCAGGGGAACGGGGATCCAGACAGGGCTTTTGCTCCTCCACCCACCCCAGGATGAACCACAGTGAGAGTAACCACTGAAACACAAGATAGTTGGGACCTCTGGGTGTCAAACAAGAAGGAGGGTAGAAAACACAAAGAAGGCAAGAGACATAGTCCTTTTGGAGACTCAGCCCCTGCCTAAGCTCCCTGTCTGGGGCAGAAACATGAGTCGCCCACAGGATACAAGAGAAATAAGACAGAAACTTTTTTTTTTTTTTTTAACTCTGTACCTCAATGGATGCAAAGGGACAGAAACTTATGAGCAAAAATTGTTTGACTCTTACAGGATCCAAATTCCCGGCAAAGCACAAACAACCATGGAAAGAAACTGCTTGGAGTGCTTTCTGCCATCTTCTCACCAAGTTCAGGAGTCAGCACTTCTCAATGCGTCTCGTCTACACCATGCACTATATAGGCACTTCTACATACTGCCCATTCTCATTACTTAGGGTACTTACGCCCTACAAAATCACTGCAGACCTCGAACCTCTGGTCAGAACATTTTCATTAACCAATCAATACATAGCCTTGTTTTATGAGCTTCTATGAAGTATGTATCATTGATTCATTAACATTGAACTCACAGCCCACAACACTATCATTTCGGCCTGAACAAAGCTTATCTAACAGACTTCTTTTCTCAGTAAATCTCATCACAGTCTTCTTGTGCTTAGGAGCAGGAGACACCACTTCAGTGCTATGCTTGGGGACCATTTTAGACAGTGAAATCACCAAGAAAAAGCACAAAAAATGCCAAAACCATGGCACTAAATAGACTGCAAAAAGGGCATTTGTTTACAGCATGAGGGCTGAAAGAAGAAGGAAGAGCATGCCTTATCCAGCCTCAGCTGGGAACGTGATTTGAATTTCTGCTGCTCTGTGCATGTCTGCAAATGACCCCAAAAACATTGTAAATATTGATTTGAGGGTTACAAATACATTTTTGTGAGTAGGCAAATTTGCAAATACAGAGGTCACAACTAACAGGACCAACTGTACATTATCTCATTTACTTCTCCTAGCAATTCTATGTGGTAGGTATTATTATTATTATTATTATTTGTAGAGACAGAGTCTCGCTTTGTTCCCTAGGCTGATCTCAAACTCCTGGGCTCAAGCAATCCTCTCTCCTCAGCCTCCCAAAGTGCTGGGATTACAGGTGTGAGCCGCCATGTCCAGCCTGTGGTGGGTATTATTATTCCAATTTTAAAGATTAGAAAACTTGGGAGCTGGACACGGTGGCTCATGTCTGTAATCCAGTGACTCAGGAGGCTGAGCAGGAGGATCCCTTTAGCCTAGGATTTTGAGGCTGCAGTGAGTCCACCACTAGTCCAGCCAAGGTAACATAGCAAGACTCAGCTTCTAAAAAAAAAAAAGGTTGGGAAACGGAGGCTCAGAGGGGTTTATGTGATTTGTACAAGGTGGTATGGCTAACAAGTGGCATTTGTATGTCTCCCACATCAAGCTTAAGACCTTTCACTTGGATAAAACTCTACCAGAGAAGATCATCCTGCCTCAGTCAGTCTTTTATTCTGTTATCTATTTGCCATACCTAAATGGGCTTGTTCAGCTACTGCTGTGGGCTGGTGTGTTCTCTTTGATTTATCTGGGGGTGCTTATGGGGATGGGGAACTATAACCCTCTTCCTCTATCCCCAGATTGAACTCAGATTCTTGAGTAGAGAGAGGGCCTCTCCTGCTGTTTATTCCCCAGGAGCTCTGCAAGCAGAGTCTTGAGAAAAGCAGCCCCCATTCCTATCCTGTATTCAGCTACTGCTACAGGCTCACAGAGCAGGTCGTCTGGGGCAAGTGTGGGAGGGCTCAGGTAGGCTCTGCATCAAGTCATTCAACAGATGCAACAGATATTGGGCCCCTGCTATTTACTTAGTCCAATATCGAGCTTGCCTCGGGGACACTGTAAAGACATAGGAAACATCTCCACCCTGGTCTGCTTTCAAATAAGTTACCTGTGGTGTGGGAGATTAAGACGCAAACATCACAGGCCAGCCAGAACCGTGCATGGTGCAGAGCTGAGCTCAGTGCAGCCTTCAGTGGGTAAGAGCATCCATGAGGGCTGGCGTGGGTCCTTCTTCATGGAGAAGGAGTTTTGAAGTGAACTCAAATAGTGAAAGGGATAGATAGAAGGAAGGAGGGGAGTTCAGGCATAGCTTGTGAGGAGATCAACGTGGCTAGAATCTGGGCTGCAAGCTCAGGACGGAGTTTAGCAGCAACAAAGAAACAATCCAGGAAAGAATCCATGAAGGTGCAGGAGATGACAGAGCTGTGACTAAGGGTTGGAGGCTGGAACTGCACAAGGCAGCACATTCTTGGTTACTCCTGAACAATGCTGAGCGGAGCGCAGAAAAAAATGATGCAGGTCCCTTGCCAGTCACAGTGGGGCTTCAGCCCCTTCCAATGCAGCCTGATAATAGGACATGCTACAGAGAAGTGGAAATGCCCTGTCAGGGGTTTTGTCTTTATCCTCAGAGCCCCATAGCTGCCTTTACCTCCCCAATCCATTTTTTATACTCCCCATCTCCAATTGATTCCTCAACCCACCCAATCTGGCTTCTGTTCCATTTCTTTTCTTTTCTTGAGACAGGGTCTCACTTTGTCATCCAGGCTGGAGTGCAGTGGCATGATCTCTGCTCACTATGGCCTCGACCTCCAAGACTCAAGCTATCCTCCTGCTTCAGCCTCCCAACTAGCTGGGACCACAGGCACACGTCACCATGCCTGGCTAATTTTTTGTTACTTTTTATAGAGATGTGGTCTTGCTATGTTGCCCAGACTGATCTCAAACTCCTGGGCTCAAGCAGTCCTCCTGCCTCAGCCTCCCAAAGTGCTGGGATTATAGGCATGAGCCATCATGCTTGGTCCCCATTTCTTATAAAAGCCATTTTCATGAAGATCACCATTGACCTTCAAGTGACTATGTCCAAGGCACATTTTTTTTTCAGTCTTCAACTAACTGGATAGTTCTCTTCTAGAATGTAATAATCATGAAGTCAAGGAATTTTGCATTCATTAGTACAGTCCCAGAACCTAGAACAGTCTGGTATAAGTGCCTGATAAATACAGTAGGTGCCTGATAAATACTCAGTGAATAAATGAGTGAACTTTCTTTCCGTGGCTTCTGCGACGCCATGCTCTCTGGTTTTCCTTCTACTCCCTGTCTGCTTCTTCTCTGCCTTTTTTTTTTAGACTCTTCTTCTTTATAATGTAAGATAACTCCAAATCTCCATCCTAGACACTCTCCTCTTCTCATCCATATTGTTTTTGTTTGGGACACCTTATTTGTTACCACCATCTGTGGCTCATAGTATTGTCCAAGAATGGTCACACCTATATATTTATCCCATCCCACATACTCCTCTTAAAACATAACTGACACTCTTCCACCAAGAAGTAGGGTCTAAGTTTCCTCCCCTTGAATCTTCCTGGCAGCTTATGACTTCTTTGGTCAAATGGAAGTAACGCTGTATGAATTCAGAGGTTAGGTCATTTGAAGAATTCAGTTTCCACTTGGATCTCTCTCTTGGGTTTCTTGATTTTAGAAGCAATCCATCCTGTGCTGAGGAAGCCCAGGCCACGTAGAGAGGCCATATGTGGGTGTTGGCAGCCAACGACTCTAGCTAAGCTCTCAGCCAGCAGCCAACATTAATATCATATAGGCCAGGCGTGGTGGCTCACGCCTGTAATCCCAGCACTTCGGGAGGCCAAGGTGGGCAGATCACGAGGTCAAGAGTTCAAGACCAGCCTAGCCAATATGGTGAAACCCCGTCTCTACTAAAAACACAAAAAATTAGCTGGGTATGCTGGCGGGCACCTGTAGTCCCAGCTACTCGGGAGGCTGAGGCTGAAGAACCAATCACTTGATCCCAGGAGGTGGAGCTTGCAGTGAGCCGAGATCGCACCACTGCACTCCAGCCTGGGCGACAGAGTGAGACTCTGTCTCAAAAAAAAAATAATAATAAAAATAAATAAATAAATAAATAAAATAAAAGAAAGAAAAAAATATACATAGTTTCAGGTCCCAGCCATTGAGTCTCCCAGCTGAGACCTCAGACACTGTAGAACAAAGTCATCCCCTCCATGCACTGTCCAAAGTCTCAATACAACAAAACCGTAAGAGATAATAAATGGCTGTTGTTTGAAGTCACCAAGTGTTGAGGTAATTTGTTACTTGGTGATAGACACCCACTATACCATCTGTATGCCGATATTCTCTAAATGTATATTTTCAACGCAGTCTTCTCCTTTGATCTCTGGATCCATATATCGAATTGCCTGCTCAGCATCTCCACTTGGATGTCTCAAGGGAGCTGTGATCTCACCACGACGAAAACTGAACTCTAATTTTCCCAGAGTTCTGATCCTTTTCCACTGTTTTCTTTCTTAATAAATGGCTCTACCTTCCAACCATTTTCTGAATCCAGAAATTTAGGAATCCGTCCTTAACCCTTTCTTTTCCCCACTGGTCCACAAGAAATCCATCAATAAATTTGGTCAATTTTACCTTTTAAATGTCTCTCTTTTTTTTTTTTTTTTTTTTTTTTTTTGAGACAGAGTCTTGCTCTGTCTCCCAGGCTGGAGTACAGTGGCATGATCTCAGCTCACTGCAATCTTCACCTCCCAGGTTCAAGCAATTCTCCTGCCTCAGCCTCCTGAGGAGCTGGGATTACAGCACGTGCCACCACACCTGGCTAATTTTTGTATTTTTAGTAGAGACAGGGTTTTGCCATGTTGGCCAGGCTGGTCTCAAACTCCTGGCCTCAAGCAGTCTACCTGCCTTGGCCTCCCGAAGTACTGGGACTCCAGGCCTGAGCCACGGTGTCTGGCCAAATGTATCTTAAATCTCACAACCTCTCTACATTCCCACCTTCGCCCTGATCCAACCCACCATCCCACCTCACCTGCTTGCACCCCTGCAGTAGTTTCTTGTCTTCCCAAATCTAGCCTGCTTCTCTCCACTTTGTTCTTCACACTGCAATCAAAATGATCCTTATTTGGAAATTAGCTGGGCGTGGTGGCCTGTGCCTGTAATCCCAGCTACTCGGGAGGCTGAGGCAGGAGACTCTCTTGAACCCAGGAGGTGGAGGCTGCAGTGAGCCGAGATCGCACCATTGCACTCCAGCCTGAGTGATAGAGCGAGACTCTGTTTCAAAAAAAGAAAAAAAAAGCCCGTTTCTGCGCGGTCACGCGGAGCCAGAGCCTGGAACCGGGCTGCAGCCCCTCAGCTTCGCCGACCGCCTCCGGACCACGGACCCCCACAAAGCGAATGAACTTCGGGCCTTTGTGAAAATGTGTAAACAGGATCTGAGTGTTCCATACACCAAGGAAATGCGCTTCCTGAGAGAGTGGGTGGAGAGCATGGCGGGTAAAGTACCACCTGCTACTCAGAAAGCTAAATCAGAAGAAAATACCAAGGAAGAAAAACCTGATAGTAAGAAGGTGGAGGAAGACTTAAAGGCAGACGAACCAAGTGAGGAAAGTGATCTAGAAATTGATAATGAAGGTGTGATTGAACCAGACACTGATGCCCCTCAAGAAATGGGAGATGAAAATGCAGAGATAACAGAGGAGATGAGGGATCAGGCAAATGATAAGAAAGTGGCTGCCATTGAGCCCTAAATGATGGTAAACTGCAGAAAGCCATTGACTTATTCACAGATGCCATCAAGCTGAATCCTTGCTTGGCCATTTTGTATGCCAAGAGGGCCAGTGTCTTCGTCAAATTACAGAAGCCAAATGCTGCCATCTGAGACTGTGACAGAGCCATTGAAATAAATCCCGATTCAGCTCAGCCTTACAAGTGGCGAGGGAAAGCACACAAACTTCTTTTTTTTTTTTTTTTTTTTTTGAGACGGAGTCTTGCTCTGTAGCCCAGGCTGGAGTGCAGTGGCGCAATCTTGACTCACTGCAAGCTCCACCTCCCGGGTTCACGCCATTCTCCTGCCTGAGCCTCCGGAATAGCTGAGACTACAGGCGCCCGCCATCACCCCGGGCTAATTTTTTTGTTTTTTGTTTTGTTTTGTTTTGTTTGAGACAGAGTCTCGCTTTGTCGCCCAGGCTGGAGTGCAGTGGCGCAATCTCTGCTCACTGCAACCTCCGCCTCTCGGGTTCATGCCATTCTCCTGCCTCAGCCTCCCAAGTAGCTGGGACTACAGGCGCCGGCCACTACCCCCGGCTAATTTTTTGTATTTTAAGTAGAGACGGGGTTTCACCATGTTAGCCAGGATGGTCTCGATCTCCTGACCTCGTGATCCGCCCATCTCGGCCTCCCTAAGTGCTGGGATTACAGGCGTGAGCCACCGCGCCCGGCGGGAAAGCACACAGACTTATAGGCCACTGAGAAGAAGCAGCCCATGATCTTGCTCTTGCCTGTAAATTGGATTATGATGAAGATGTTAGTGCAATGCTAAAAGAAGTTCAACCTAGGGCACAATTGCAGAACACTGGAGAAAGTATGAGCGAAAACGTGAAGAGCGAGAGATCAAAGAAAGAATAGAAAGAGTTAAGAAGGCTCGAGAAGAGCATGAGAGAGCCCAGAGGGAGGAAGAAGCCAGACGACAGTCAGGAGCTCAGTATGGCTCTTTTCCAGGTGGCTTTCCTGGGGGAATGCCTGGTAATTTTCCCGGAGGAATGCCTGGAATGGGAGGGGGCATGCCTGGAATGAATGGCCAGAATGCCTGGAATCAATGAAATTCTTGGTCATCCAGAGGTTCTTGCAGCCATGCAGGATCCAGAAGTTATGGCAGCCTTCCAGGATGTGGCTCAGCACCTAGCAAATATGTCACAATACCAGAACAACCCAAAGTTTATGAATCTTATCAGTAAATTGTCAGCCAAATTTGGAGGTCAAGCATAATGTCCTTCTGATAAATAAAGCCCTTGCTGAAGGGAAAGCAACCTACATCACCTTATGGATGTCGCAATGATACAAACCAGTGTACCTCTGACCTTCTCATCAAGAGAGCTGGGGTGCTTTGAAGATAATCCCCTACCCCTCTCCCCCAGTGCAGCTGAAGCATGTACAGTGGTTTGCCATTAGGGTATTCGTTCAGATAATGTTTTCCTACTAGGAATTACAAACTTTAAACACTTAAAAAAAAAAAAGATCCTTGTTTGGGACACCTGAATGAATTTTCCTTGCTCGTAAGACCAAGACAAAAATCCTTAACATGAGCAAACCCTACGAGATTCGGCCCTTGCCTAACCTCTCAAAATCCCTGCTGTCCTCCCCTGGATCTCTGCTCTGCACTCCACTGTGACAGTTCCTGGATTGCACTGAGCTTCTCCCCACAGAGGGATGTGCAGACATGGTTACTATTCTCGGGAAATCTCTTCTGCCCCCTGTCTTTTACCAAGCTAATTTTCATGCATTCTTCAGATCTTAGCTCAACCAAGGAAACCCTTCCTGACTCTCCCTCACCTTCTTTGTAATGTCTTCTGTAATATACTGTCACTGCTCCATGTGCTTTTAAATCCCAGCCTGTCTCTGTCTTTAATTGCACATCATCCATGAGACTATTTGATTAGTGTCTCCCTTACAAGACTGAAAGCTCCAGGTCGGCAGGAACCACATGTCTGTTATGTCCCTTACACCACGCACAGGCATTCCGTAAATATCTATTGCTTATGGAATGAATGAACGAAGGTGTGAATCCAAAGTGAGTAACAGAGCAGCAAGTTCCAGCCTTGAGGCCCAGGACTGCATTTCTCAGTTTCATGAACCCAATACACTGGGGAGAGCCTGTTGTGAACCACACAGCACCCTCTTCTTTCTCCAGAAGATACATTTTCTTTTTAACAGAATATACATTTTCTTCATGTTTCACATTCCACACCCCAGTGTCAGTGTGGGGATAGGGGTGAGGGATGTCAATTAAATTAATCATGGCAATCCCCTCGCCCAGGATTGATTGAGGAATAGGCATGAAACACAAGGCTAGTGAGACATGAAAGGAATTTGAGTTTTATAAAGGGACAGGAAGATGCTCTTGGGTGAGGATGTGATACTTGGAGCCACTGTAGTCTCTTGTGGCCCTGAGGGAACAAAGGCCGAATACATGGCAGAGGCAAAGGCTCCTGGTGGGGAGAACCCACCTCCTCAATGAACACATAAAATGACCACCCTTGAAACTGCTGATTGTATGGAACAATAAATTGTTTCTTATTGGTTTAAGCCAGGGTTTCTCAACATCACCACTGACACTTTGGGCCACATAATACTTTGTTGTGGGCAGCTGTGCATTATGTGTGGTCCTGTGCATTGTGGTATGTTGAGAAGCATCACTGGCCACTACCCACTAGATACCAGTATGACTATCCCCCACATCCCAGTTGTGACAACCACAAATGTCTTCAGACCTTGTGAAATGTCCCCTGGGGAGTAAAATTGCCCCCAGTTGAGAATGACTAGTATAAGCCAACTGAACTAAATTTTCTATTACTTGCAGCCAAAAGCAGCTTAACTGATACAGCACCTTTTCAACTTAGTTTACCCATAGCAATCTCTTTTTACCACACCCACATCTGCCTCTAGCACCAGAGCTGCTCATAGACCCATTCACACAATTACATCTTCCCACCAACCCCATTCAATCATAGCCTTCCTACTCCTGCTTTACCACTCACTTCCCCAGCCCCAGCTCCAACCATCTCTGCCTCCCCCTTCTCCTGCCACTTGCTGTGAGAGCTGATGGCAATGCTGTCTGTTACTTGCTCTTGCTCTAACATCGCTCTCTGCTACTTCTGCTCCTCATCAGAAGGAGGTCAATAGAAGCTTCCTTCAAACTTCCCCTGCCAAGGCTCTTTCTCCACCCCTCTATTCCCACTTCACTAATTTCATCTATCCATCCATTTATCCATCCATCCATCCATTATTCAACATTTATTTTGCACACTTACTATGTGCTTGGAGCTACAATAGGCACTGGATAGTGAATGGATTCAGATATAGAACTTGTCCTTAAAGAGCATACAGTCTGGCTAAGAAGACAGTTCACTAAGCCAATGACAAGTACTATATAAGTGTTGAAGATATCTGACCTACTATGAAAAGAAAAAAAAACGCATTTTCACACCTTGAGTGGCCCACACATTTAATTAGGTACTCAAGATAATGGAAAAAGTGGTCTTTACCTATTCACGGAGCAAGTCTGGCAAAACTGTATCTGCCAATGTGGTTAGTCCAGTTCCAGTAACTGGATGCACTTGGGAGAAGGGAGAGGGCCTAAGAAGAACTGTGTTCTGTTAAGTCAGACTTTTTTTCCCCTGTGGACTTTTCTCCAACTGGTCTGAATTAGTGAGGTCTAACTGCTTCTATTTAAGAAAAGGCAACAAAATCTTGAGGGCGTGCCTCCAAAAATCTTGCCAAAAGACACACACGCACACACACACAGGCACACATCACCACCACCACCAACTCCATCATCCACACACTCTGCCCTCAGGACAGGGACACACAGTGACACACACTGTCAGGCAGTTAAGGAAAAAGCAGAAATTGGGCATCCGTTCAAACAGCTTGAAGTTAAGAGATGGAAGATGGCTGCCGGGAGGGCAGAGCAGAGAGGGGCTTTGGTAAAGGAACCACTCCAAGCACAGCAGAAAAGGTCTCGCCCGAAGATTCTGGATTTCCTCTTTGGTTCTTTCAAAGAATGAGTCTCTGGTTCTATTTGGCTGGGGGACCAGCACTTGTGGGGTGTGGCCTTGAGCTCCCTCTTCCCCTGCACAGTAACGCTATTGTTCAGTAACTGCGGCCAATTTATGGAAAGAGGTGGAATGTTTATGTAACTGACTCTGCTTTAGACAAGATGTTTGAAAGTGGAAAAAAATGACTGATGGAAGGAGGCCAGTCCAAACACGGTTTTTCTTCCTTTCTGGACACAGATGTTGGAAAAATGAGGAGAAGGAAGGAGGGAGGGAGAGAAGAAAGTCGGGGTCTGAGAAGGAGTGCCAAAGTCCAAGCTGGCCAGAGACAGCCAGAGTCTGTCTTTGAGGCCAGGGGCAGAGCCTTGGAGCAGAACCTCCGTTTTTGGAAGCTGCTGTTTTAATTAAATAGGTCAACCCAATCAGGACAGCTCTGGTGTGGGGTCTGGGTCTCATTAGCCTAACATGGGTGGGGTGGGGCTGGCCTGGGGGAGTGGATCCCTTGGTGTGTCTGTAGTGGGGGGCAGCCTGAGATGAAGGAACTTCTTTACTGCTTCCCCCAAAGCCAGGCCCCAGGCAGCTGGAGCTGCCAGGAGGGGCAGACCACAGATGGAGAATGTGCTTCATTAAGCACGAGTCAGTCCACTCTGCAGCCTGGAGGCCCAGGCAGACTGGAAAAATCAGAACTGCTTTGAAAGGGAGTCACAGGAACAAATCTCACCCCTTCACCCAGCCCAGGTGCGGGGTAGTTAGGAGAACAAGATCCATACCTACACTTTCCCTTGGACCTAAGTTGGGCACTGAAGGCAAAGGCAGAAGTAAAGAGAAGATGACATGATTGTCTTCCAGGTTACAGGACTCCTGTGCTTGGGAGCTTCATCTGATAGGGGAGACTGGTTCCTGCCATTAGAGACCCCTAGTTTGATGGGGGAAGAACTCAATCCTGCACTTGGGGATACCTAGTAGATAGCCCCCTAACCCTGGGATCCCTAGTCTGGTGGGAAAGGCAGGACTGTAGTAAACGAAATAATCAAACTCATACAGAATTGGCATGTAAGCAGGTTCAGTGAGTTTTATGCAATGTGGGGACATCATATACTAAAGGACTTATATTTACAGTGGATCAGTGTTAGGGATGGTTCCTAGAGGAGGAAAGTTTTGAGCAATAAGATGGCCGTGGCTTGGCTAGGACCGTAGCCTGTGTGTGAGCATCTGTGATTATGCATTCTTGATTCTTAGGGGACAGGACTTAGGAGCCCATGTCCCCAGAGGTCTTAGTTCAACTGGCTGGGGGTGGTGAGGTAGGGCCTGGAGGTCCGACCTCTCAAAATAGGAGAATAAAGACAAATCAGCTGACCACCTAGTTTTCCCCAAGGGCTGGCTGGGTCAGGTTGCAATTTCGTTTCTGTCAACACATCCCAGAAGCCAGGGACTGTCAGGTGTCCCCCAAGATTAAGACGACTATATAATTTATCATTTAAATGAGGACTTTGGAGACAGTAGGTGTGTTATTAATCATTATGCTGGGCCCATAGGCATAAACCAGGCCTGTTCCAGATAAACCAGGACATTTAGCCTCCCTTCCTTCTAAGATCTTTAAGGGCCTGTGTGTGTGTGTGTGTGTGTAGCTGAGGGTTATGAGAAACTGAAGGATTAGCTTCAAATATTCTCCTCAACACCCCAATTCTACTTGATTTTTAGAGAAATGTGATTATTATGGTAAATAAAACATGTATGTATACAATGTGTGCTTATAAATAGTATATGTGTGTATGTATATATATATTTCTAGATAGATGATAAGAGATATATACACATATAATACAGAAGTCAATGAATTTTTAAAAAATGTGTTGAAATTAGGCCAGGTGTGGGGCCTGTAATCCCAGCACTTTAGGGGGCTGAGGCAGGAGGATCCCTTAAGACTGGGAGTTTGAAACCAGCCTGGGTAACATGGTGAAACCCCATCTCTACAGAAAAATTTTTAAAATTAGCCGGGTGTCGTGGCATATGCCTGCAGTCCCAGCTACTTGGGAGGCTGAGGTGGGAGGATTGCTTGAGCCTAGAAGGTCCAGGCTGCAGTGAGCCATGATCACACCACTGCACTCCAGCCTGGGTGACAGAGTGAGACACTGTCTCAAAAAAAAATTAAGTTAAAATGAGAGACCTCAAAATACAGTTGTTATAGCAAGTCTCCTGGGACTATGTCCCCAGCATCTCAAGGGGCACTATCATAGACGTATTCATGGCTGCCCAAATGTTTTCAACACCCTCTTGATATTTTGATAGTCTTTCAAGGATGCATCCTACCTTTCCAATGAAAACTAAAACAAAAGAAAACTGCCCTTATTTTTTCATTTCCGTTGCTGCTAGGGGTGCTAGTCGCACCAATCTGAGCTAATCTTTGTCTCTGAACAGAGTTACCTAGGGACAGGGACATGGCAGGAAGGGGTCCTCCCTTTTTGCTGGCACCAGATCACAGCAGGCACAGAATGGGTTAGAACTGGCAACTTCCTGCTCCTGACGGAGGCAGCTGCTCCCCTGGCAGCCAGATCTGCAGTGTGGCTCTGGGAGTCATCCTGGAAGCTCAGACTCTAGTCTGTTTTTCAGCCCTCTTAATACCCTTACTGAATCCTCTCATGCTTAAACCAGATGGGGAGGATTCCAGGTTTTTATATTTGCTTTGTTTTACAAAGAAGGACCCTGATCAATTCAGAGGATGCAAGGGCAGAGTTTGAGGAGACTCGTTACCTACAGTGTGAGGGATGGGGAAATTTAGCCCCAGAAGATGAAACGGCTGCATAAAACAAAACCATCCCATCTATCCAGTGCCCAGCCCCAGCCTCTTTGAACAACCACTTGCTGTCTTCTGTTCTTCCCTCTTCCTCCCCTCCCCTGCCCCATCTCTGGAGCTCCATCACATTTCATGTCCTTGCTTCCTCATACTGTTCCTCAGAAGTAGGGAGGTCAGGGAATGCTTCTCTCTGGAAGGTAAAATGCTACTCTGGAAGGTAAAATGATGTGCAGAGAGTGCGGGATAGTTGTGCAGCTGGCTAGCGGTGGAGCTGGGATGACACATCCATTCTTAATCTGGATCTCATTGTGTAGGGGCTTGGTGTTTCCCAAGCTAGGGCTCCCTGGAGCCAGGAGCAGCTCAGGCATCTGTAAACCTCATTATAATTGGTGTATAGTGAAAGGGCAGACTGACTCAGATTTCAAGTCCCACTTCTGCTCTGATGCTAGTCCTGGGCAAATCACCGGCCATCTTTCGGCTTCATTTACCTCATCTGTCAAATGAAGAGGTTGGTCTAGATCACAAATTCTTAACCTTTTGGGTGTCGTAGACTTCCTTAAAAATCTGATCTTTGGGCCACGTTGGGGGGCTCACGCCTGTAATCCTAGCACTTTGGGAGGCGGAGGCAGGCAGATTGCCTGAGCTCAGGAGTTCGAGACCAGACTGGGCAACATGGTGAAACCCCGTCTCTACTAAAATACAAATAACTAAATAAATAAAATTAGCCGGGACTGGCAGTGTGTGCCTGTAGTCCCAGCTGCTTGGGAGGCTGAAGCAAGAGAATTGCTGGAACCCAGGAGGCAGAGGTTGCAGTGAGCTGAGATCACTCCACTGTACTCCAGTCCAGGTGACAAAGTGAGACTCTGACTAGAAAAAAAAAATCTGATCTTTGGCCAGGTGCAGTGGCACACATCTGTAATCCCAGCACTTTGGAAGGCCGAGGCAGGTGGACTGCTTGAGGTCAGGAGTTTGAGACGAGCCTGGCCAACATGGCAAAACCCCGTCTCTACTAAGAATATAAAAATTAGCTGGGCATGACGGCGCAGCCTGTGATCCCAGCTACTCGGGAGGCCGTGGCAGAAGAATCACTTGAATCCAGGAAGCAGAGGCTGTGGTGAGCTGAGATCATGCCACTGCACTCCAGCCTGGGCAACAGAGCAAGACTCTTGAAAAAAAAAAAAATCTGATCTTTTTCCTTCATCCCCAGTCCCTCCCTCTAAAAACTGTACAGACAATATTTTCTATAAAATTTCAAGGGGGTCATGGACTGTTTGAAGTCCATTATTCAGTAAGAGGATTCAAAGCTTTTTTTTTTTTTAATCAGACTCCCAAAGGGATTTATGACCCCCGAATTATAAGAGCCCTGCTCTAAGGTCAGCTTGAGCAATGATTCTGGAGAGCTCTGTGAAAAAGCCTGCCTGCTGATCTTGGCTCTGCCCCTGGAAAGAGTGTTTCCCTTCATTGAGCCACAGTTTTCTCACCTATAAAATAAGGATAACAATACCTGTCCTGCCAACACTATAGAATTGTTGGGAGAATTACACCGTAATAGAGGTGAAAGTTTTTTGTAAACTGTAAAGTGTTGTATAAGAGTGATCAATCAGCCAGCTCCCTTCCTTTTTCTAAAGCCTGAGGGATTGTGGCAACATCAGGCTAGAGCTGGCAGAGTTCCTGGTACCACACAAGGGCCTGAGAACTGGACCCCAGTAATGTTGTCTCTTACAAATGGGTGACTCTCACCCTCCCATGGGACCTTATTGAGGCTTCATCCTGTTCCACTGTTCCAGGCCCATAAACAGCACTTCCACTGGAGCTCTTTGCTGTCTGCAGCGCCCTCTTCTACTTTGCTGACCGAGCCTGCCCACTGTCTGGAACAGTCACGTGCTCATTCATCCACTGCTATTCCACTAGGTAGCAGACAGCAGTCAAGGAAGTAGGACGGGCATGGTGAGTACAGTATCATCTGTCCCAGCCTGTGGTCCACTCCGTGACACTCCTAATTTCTTAGGCCACATGTCTAAATGTGAGGTTCAGAAAGCATGAACCTAGGACTCACTCCCCTTGGGATGCTGTCAGATTGAGGGCATGCAGAGACGGGCATCTGCAGCTTGAGAAGGAGCCAGGATACACACTCACACACATACACACACAGTTGCAATCGCCCAGGAAGGGCCTGTCTGTCACAGGCCTGGCCTGGCCTGCATGGCACCGAGGTGCTACATCAAAGGAGAGCGGTGGAGTCGGCGATTACTCGGGCATGTGGCTCACCTTCCTGCCAGTATTTTCCCTGACAAGACTTTACTTGCCACCCACATTTTCCTCTCTGGTAACAGAGAGGATTAAAGGCTCCTCAGTCTGCTTCTAACTAAAGCCCTCACCACTCCAGAAACTACTGGAGCTACTGTCTGCAACTCCTCCTCTCCCCCAACCTGCCTCCCCTGTCCTTGACTCTGCCACTCTAGGATAGTCCCACACAACCCTCTCTGGGCCGTGGGGATGATGCTGGAGGGTGTAGATCAGAGCCGGCCAGCCCCAAAACGTTGACCCTCTGGTGCCGGGTAGTTTTCACTGGGCAGTCCCTGGGAGTGAACTAGGGGGATGGGCTAAGGGTCCCCAAGAAGCAAGAACATGGTGCCCAGAGGGCCCAGAGGAGAGGGGATGTGGTTGTGAGCCAGATGGGAGCTGCATGATTCCCTGTACAAGGGATCACGGAGATCCAGGCCTTGACTTGTCCGATATGGTAGCCACTAGCAGTATGTGGCTATTGAGCATTGAAATTGAAATGTGTCTTGTCCTAATTGATATGTGTTGTCATTGTAAACTAGACACCAGATTTCAGACTTAGTACAAGACAAAAAAGAATATAAAATATCTCAGTCAAAATGTTTATATTGATTACATGTTAAAATGACAATAATTTGTGTATATTTGGGTTAAATAAAATATATTATTTAAATGTTTTATAATTTAAAACTTTTTTTTATTTTTTAAAAATTAAGGGACTGGGTGTGGTGGCTCATGCCTATAATTCCAGCACTTTGGGAGGCTGAGGCGAGAGGATTGCTTGAGTCCAGGAGTTCAAGACCAGCCTGGGCAACATAGTGAGACCTTGTCTCTATTAAAAAAAAATTTAAAAAAAAAGTGCAGTGGTATAATCATAACTCACTGTAGCCTCGACCTCCTGGGCTCAAAAGATCCTCCCTGCTTAGCCTCCTTGAGTAGCTGGAACTACAGATGTGCAACGCCACACCTGGCTAATTTTTAATTTTTAGTAGAGACAAGGTCTCCCTGTGTTGCCCAGTTTGGTCTCGAACTCCTGGGCTCAAGTGATTCTCCAGCCTCAGCCTCCCAAAGTGCCGCGATTACAGGTGTGAGCCACCACGCCCAGCCTTTATTATTAAAATTAATGTCACTTTTTTTAATGAACTTTTTTTTTTAATGTGACTACTAGAAAATTGAAAATGACATTCATGATTCGCATCGTATTTTTATTGAGCAGTGCTGGTCTAACAGAAGTAAAGTGTTCCCCACGGGGGGATCAGCCACGGAGAGGGGACCAGTGAGAGAGAGCCTGCTGTGCCCACTTTGAAGTCTTCTCTACCATCAGTCTTGTTCAGCTGGGAACAGGAGCCTGTGAACAGCTTGCCTGACAATGAGACTGACCGGGAGCTAGAACTAAAGCTCCTGACCCCATTCTAATGCTCTGTTCTCTCAAGACAGGACCCCTCATTCCCTCATACCTGGGGCTGGGTTGATGAATTTGTGGCTTACGGTGTAGGGGAGGGGGAAGGTACCCCCAGGACTCTGGGCATCTGTCTAGGGGACCTTCACTGCTGGACTCACCAAAGTTTTAGGGACCAGGACGTGGTGGTAGTACATGTCTCTTCCTGCCAGGAGCCCTTGTCACAGCCTGCAAGCTTAGAAAAGAGAGATGCCCCTTCCAATGTAGGGCATATTCTATTATTTATTAACCCCGAGGAGGCCTGCCCACGATGGCCTTCCAGCTGGTTAATTGGATTTCATGACAACTTTTTTAAAAGGAATGTTCTGAGGAGCAGTGTTGTGTCCTGCCCCAGGGGTCCTGTGAGGTTTCCTCCATCTCCTTGAAAACTCAGCCACTGCGGTATAACATGGAGCTTTAATCATACATGTCAGTGTAGCTCCAGTCCCATCAGAAGCTGTGGTGGGGCTGACACAGCCACTGATGCTCCAGGATGAGAAATAAGTCCCTTTCTTACCTATGATAGAGAAAGTATCTTCTGTGCTTGATGTGTGGGCGACTGCTAGTTAATTTGTGAGGCACTTCTGCTTCGATTACAGCCCCTCGTAGGTGAAAGTGTGCTGCTTATCACAATCAGAATGTCATAAGTTTGCATTTCCTTCTGCTGAGGAGACATTAATAGACATAAGGTCCTATGATAATAGCTATTAGCATGGCTGAGGCCCCTACTTAAACAATTGCTTTGAGACTAGGCAGCTAAACACTAGTATTTCATGCATGGGCTCATTGCTCTTCCTCCCAGGTCAGTTTTGCTATGGTTGTTTCATCCAGAGGATGTTCAGGGAAGGACAGAAGGGGAGCCCCCTGCAGATTCGTGGCCACCCACTGTCCCATGGCCTTCAGATAAGGAGAGGGACAAAGCCTGCTGTACAAAAAAATCTATGTATGCACAAAGCTGCATTTTTAAGGACAGGCAAGAATTCCTGGTGTTATGGTAGAATTTACTGGAGAGCCCTTTAGACTGTTAGATTCCTGCCAGAATGGGTTGTTTACAGGGAGGTCTACTGAGGATGGAGACTGGGCAACTTAAAACAAGAAGGCAAGGAGCTAACCCCATGTTTAGTGTCTTTCTTGTGTAGAGTTCTGACACTAGACACTTACAGTAAGTATGTGCCCATAAACCACTATCCCATGGACCCGAGGGTAGAGCCCCTTCCTAGGATTTGGAAGGGACCCTGGAGAGAAGGAATGGGGGTGCGTACTGAGGTACTAGAACCCCTAGGGATGAGTGCAGTGGAAGTTCAGATAGCCATGGAATCTATCCTTTGACTGGGTGCTCTCTTTTTCTGGAGGACATGCTCATAAAACAACAAATTGTCACTCTAAACTATTCCCCCACATCAACAAGGACAAGGGTCCCACAGCTATTCATATTGTGTGCTTGGCATTATGTAAAGTGACTTACATACACCATCCCAATAACTTAGTTATGGGTATAGTTAGCCACATTTTACTCATGAAGAAACCTGCGCTTACAGAAGTCAAGACATTTACTCAAGGTCACAAAGTTATAGGAAGCCAGGATTGTAACTAAGCTCTCTGATTCCAAAGCCCATGTTTAATTTCTACTTTATAATGCCTTCCAAAAAAAATCTCCCCCAAAACTATGATTCTAGTTGAAAAGTAATTCTAGAGAGGGGGGATATTACATTTTATGTATCACAGAACAGACCTATAGTAGCCCTGGAAAGGCTTCACACAAAATGTGGACCTTGAAGTGGCCTTGAGGGCAAGTTACTCTTTGTATAAGTGGGGGCATGGAGAGGTTATCCCAGGCTAAGGGAAAAGCAGGAGTGAAGGCTGGGAGGTGAAAAGTTGCAGGTCAGCAAGAGAGGACATTGAGAGGACAGAAGTGGCTGGAGCAGAAGGTTCCCCCCAGGGAGCAGAAGGTGGGGCTGGGCATGTAGCCTGGGCTGAGGTCTGGAGGGCATTGAAAGTCAAACCTGGGAGGTAAAGTATTCCTGTTTGCCTGGTGATTTAGGATGATCAGCTACAGAATGGATGGAGTGGAAATGCTTGGGGACTTAGGGGGCACCCTGGGCAGGGCTGAGGCTGTGGACTTCACCTCGGTGGACCTTAATCTCCCCTGCTGTGAGAAGGGTAGATAACCCTGGGTGCTCAGAAGTCTGGGCCCCTGTGGAGCTTGGTGATGCTAAGGCACCTGATGGATGCTAAACCACCTAGGTTATGGCTGCCAGGTGCAATGGCAGAGGTGCAATAGTAGCACCTTCTTTTTCAATGTAAAGATAGCTAGAGGGAGAGAATTGACTAATTGTGTGAGAGCAGAGGGAGGAGTTCAGGTGACTCTGAGACTCCAGTTGGAGGATGTGAACAGAGTATCCCTCTCAGCAGTTGGTCCCCAGCACTGCCTGAGGCCACACCCAAATCTAGGAGCTCCAGTCCACCCCCTTGGGCACTGGCATTCTGCATGCCTGGCTTGGAGGTAGGGTCTCCCCAGCTCCTCCCTGCCCCCTCTGCAGAAAAGCTGAGACTTTTCCCATTTCTCCTGCCTCTTGTTTCTCTAATTTTATGATTGTATGAAAATAAGGTTCCCAAATTGCCTTTAATTAGCTTTAATAAGACAGCCTTTTTGCTAATTAAAACGATTATTAAGAAACCATTTATTGAGAATGAACACAGTTGTTAGAACCTACGAGAATTCTGAACTCTTAATAATAACAACAGCAGCCACCACCAGCCCCATCAGGCCCCAGAAACTCAAACTGGGTAGTGCTCAGGCTGGGGGCCCAGGGTTTCCAACTTTTCCCTCTCTCCAGGGCACCTTGTGGGCAGATGCTGCCTGCAAGCCTATAGTTACTCCTTTCCCCAGCACTGAGGTTCTCTCTGTAGAAAATGTCCCCGGTAAGTAAGCACTGACAGGTTTGCCTGTTAAAGGGTCTGGTGCAGCCAGAGTAAAGCTGGGCAGGCAGTCAGGAGGCCATGAAACCTCCAGTCACTTCACCTCCCTGGACCTTTATCTCCCCTGCTGTGAGAAGGGTGGGTGGGCCTGGGTGGCCTCAGAAGCCCAGGGCCCTCTGGAGCTTGGTGATGCTAAGGCGCTGGTTGGAGCCTGCACTCGTGGAAACCCACACCTCTGGGTAATGGGGGAGTCTGGGGCTAGCAGAGCCCAGAGCTCATTTCATCCTCCTCTCCTCCCTCTCCAGGAGGACTGCTCAGGCAGCTGAGGCAAGAGACTCCTGTCGCGAAGCTGTTGAGGAGACTCGGAGACTCTGGGCTCCCGCTAGGAGCAAGCAGGCGCGGTGCAGCGAGGCGAAGCCCAGGCGCGGGGCCCGGAACGCGGTGGTGCAGCTCCCCGGTCCCCGGGTCTCTGACCGCGGTGCTCTCTCCCGCCCCGGGCTGCGCAGCTGCTGACAGCTCCTGGGTGATGGCGAACGGCTTGTGCTGTCACATTTCCTTCCTGTAGGGAGGGGGTGGGGAGCTGGAGCCTGGAAGGGCCGGGACGGGGAGGGAGACTACCCAGGTGGAAGGCGGTGCAGAAGGTTGCTGGAGAGAAGACGCCCCGGGCAATTTCTAGTGACGTCGTCTAGGCCGTATCTACCTTCTGGGGTCAGGAGTCTTGCTACACCCTAACCCCGCCTCCTCCAGAGTCCTCCCAGGGTTTTTCCAGGGACCTGGTCAGCTTGAGGTCTTGGCAGCACTTGAAAAGCAGCGGTGGTTTTTGATTTAGTTGTTTAATTTTTATTTTTAAATATTACAGTGGAAAGAACGTGGACTTTGGAGTCCCATAGCCCTGGACTCCAATTCGGTGGGTCGAATACCTAGCTTTGTGACCCTTTGTGACACTCAACTGAGCTTCGTTTCACGACAGCTTTTTTCCCATGGGGCTGCTGTAAGGCTTAGATGCAATAATGGAGGTGAGGTTGCCCAGTCGGTAGCCTAAGACCCAGCGCTAGTGTCGGGGGAATGTGCACTTGACCTCAACCAGTGAAGGCGAAGGATAAGCTTCCAGGCCCTAAACCCGAGGCCAAGCCGGCCCCGGTCTCCTTGGCGCTCGCTGGCGTCCAGGGTCGGCAGCAGGGCTGGGGACAGTGGGAGTGGGTACTCGGCGGTTCCCAACCACGCCGCATGTCGGAATCCACGCGGACGTCTGAAGAAACATCCGCTGGGGGCCTCAGCAGAGTCCAATTCATCGCGAGCCTCTGGGGTAGGGCTCAGGCCTGAGGGTTTTGTAAAAGCTCCCGAAGGGGGCTCCGAGGTGCAATCAGGATTGAGAACTGGTGATTGAAGAACCACCGCGGTCTCCGGAAAGAAATAAACAAAGAGGCCTTCCTGGGGCGGAAGGGAAGAGGGCTGGCGGGTCCCCACCCGTGTGCAGGTGACCCCTTCACACCCGCATTCCCACGCCCAGGGACACGGTTACACGCACGCTTGGACACACGGGCACCCACACTCACCCGAACACACACACCCACGCCCATTCACGCTGTCCCGGACACACCCACACCCACTGCATTCTCCGGGCGAGTCCTGCGGCCGGAACCCAGACAGAGCGCGCCCGCTGGGGGCCGGGCCCCGCTGCTCCGAGGGTCTCAGGCCAGGAGGCCCGAGCGCGCCACAGCCGCTGACAGCGCGGCTCCTCCGAGCCCGGGGCGCTCGGCAGAGCCCCCGCCGGGCCGCGCCGCGCTCGCTCCGGCTCTTTGTTATGCTAATTCCCCTTCCCAGCTGGTGCCAGCTGCCTGCACAATGAGCGCCCGGAGCCCTTGCCAGCCCTCGCCAGCCAGGGAGTGGGGGCGGGGCGGGGGGGGGCCACCTCACACTGCGGCTGCCCTCCTCACCACCCCCTCGCCGTCCCAGCACAGCGCAGTCTGGCCGGGTGCTGAGCAGCCCAATAAGCAGCCTTTCCCCCGTCCTCCCCTCCCCCATGCTTGCAGGGCCGCGCCCCCCGGGGCCTGCAGGGCATCCTCTGATTCATTCCAGTCGCTAGGGCTGCCCGCCCTCCAGGTGCCAGGGCTTGATGATGAAAAGTAAAAGGCTCCTCCGCGGCTCGAGAGCCGTGAGGATGAAAGAGAAGCAGCCGCCTCCCAGACCACACAGCTAATCCTCCCATAAACCTCGAGCAAATAAGGGGAGAGGAAGAACAGGCCGGCTACAGATGTGGAGTGCAGCCTCCGGGGATCCCCAAATTAAAACTCGTGCAGGGGAAGCCCTTGGACCACAACCAAATGACACTAATTGGGTTATGGGACCATAATCTTGGCTGGTATTTAAAAAAAAAAAAAAAACAGTTATAGTCACAGCTGCAAGAACTGTCTTCATAAAAAGAAGGGGGAAAGTCCGCTATTTTATTACGCATAAGAATGAGAGAGAAGAGGGTTCACGGATCTCCTGCCTGCATGGTGCAGACAGGCTGGTTGCTTGAAGGCGAGGACAGTCTTGTGCCAGGGGGAGCCGCGTTGTGCCTGGCTGGCTCCGGGTGTGTGGAGCTAATCGGCTAAAGGAGGCGGGGGCAGGAGCACTCCAGGGGGAGGGGCAGAGGAACTGCAGTGAGAATGGGGAAGCATGGCCTATCCGGAGGAATGTATATTACAGAAGACAATAGATTAGCCGCCATATGCAGAAAACAATCATTTGGGACAGGAAAACTCAGAGATGTGTTCTTAAAGAAAGATCCAGAAGCAGTTTCTCAGTTTCACTGGGAGGGAAAAAAGGCATTCTGGGGAAGGGAAGGAAAGGAAAGGGTGACATGCAGAAAACTCAAGTGAACATCTTCAGAAAGATCCCTGATTGTTAGAATCAGGAATTGTTAGAATCAGAAGAGAAGGTTAGAAGGGAACAATCTTTTAGAGGCCCTTTGAATCCAGCCTCATCATTTGACAGATGGAAAATCAAGATCCAGAGAAGTGAAGGAGCTTGTTCATGGTTAGACAGCTAGTGAGTGGCAAACCTGGGCAAGACTCTGTTTCCTAACTCCTAATCTAGTTCTCACCACTAAGTTGGTTATAATCTTGTGGTTAAGAAACAGCAGTCATTTGACCAGAAATCAATACAATAGATTGACTCTAAGCAAATAAATGAAGAGTTATGATTTGTTCTTTTTCTTCTTCTTTCTTTCTTTTTGCTTTCTTCTTCTTTTATTTATTTATTTATTTTTTGGACAGATTCTTGCTCTTTGCTCTGTCACCCAGGCTATAGTGCAGTGGCGCAATCTCAGCTCACTGCAACCTCTGCTTCTGGGGTTCAAGCGATTCTCATGCCTCAGCCTCCAGAGTGGTGGGGACTGCAGGCTCACTGCAACCCCCACCTCCCGGTTTCAAGCGATCCTCCTGCCTCGGCCTCCCAAAGTGCTGGGATTAAGGTGTGCACCATCGTGCCTGGCCTAAACAGGACATTTTTAAAAGATTGAGGTAAGCTTTGTTGGATCTATAATAAGAACAAGTGTTAGAAATCAATTAATTCGTACAAATTCCATCCCAGGATTCTTCCTAGTATGTATTTCTTTATTCATCACTTAAAACACCCAGATAAATGGCCCCAGAATTTCTTTAAGAGTTCTTTCTGTGCAGGGACCAATACCATCTCTAGATAGAGATGTCCCTTGTGCATTAAGTCATCTTGCCTAAAACCAGCTAGGTCAAGATTGGGCTGGTTGAGAATTCTAATTGATCATCTTAACTGGTTAAAATTCTACTGATTGGGAAATAAAAATATCTACTCCAGCTGCTGGTTTTCCAAACTCTGAGAGGACAAAGGTTTAGAGATGGCCAGCCTAGACCTCCCTGGGCAGGCTGAGGTGTCCTGGCTTCCCACTGCCTCTCTCAGCTGGCTCAAATGGCAACTAATGTTGCCAATCATGAGATCCTAGCCCAGTCAGATAGGAGGGGAGCCTCTTGCAGAGAAGTCCTGGGACCCCCATGGTACAACACTGCATTTGCTCTCATTATACTCTGTTGCCCATTTCTCATTCTCAAGCCATATGGTTCAGTTTTGTTCTCATTTCAGGACCTACCCATCAGCAAGCCTGCTACAAATGAACCTCACCTTAGGGAAAAATATATACTCTTCAAAAATAGAGAGACAGAATGTAATTTTGTAAATGGAATTCTATTTTGAAATTATCAGTGGGTTTCTGAGTTTACTGGCAAAACAGAAGGGATAAGAATTTGAAATAGGGATAACCAACCTCTAGTTGACCTTATACATGGAAACTGTATCCCAGTTATTTTATAATAGGCTGTGTCCTTGGTTGTGGTTATCCAGACAATTCTGCTTTGGCCTCCAAAATTATCAGGTAGAGGAGCACAAGGAATAGCGTTTAGTCTAAATTATCTCCCCTGCCCCCCTCCTGCCTTTTTTTTTTTTTTTTTTTTTTTGGAGACAGAGTCTCACTTCCTCATCCAGGCTGTATGCAGTGGATCCATCTAGGCTCACTGCAACCTCTGCCTCTGAGGTTCAAGCAATTCTCCTACCTTGGCCTCCCGAGTAGCTGGGATTAAAGGCGCCCCCCACCACACAGGCCCGGCTAACTTTTGTATTTTTAGTAGACACGGGGTTTCACCATGTTGACCAGGCTGGTCTTGAACTCTTAACCTCAAGTGATCCATCCGCCTTGGCCTCCCAAAGTGCTGGGATTACCAGCAGGCATGAGCTGCCGCGCCTGCCCCCCCTTTTTTTCCTAACTTAATACTGTACTTTTTCTGAGTAAAAGCTAGGTTTAAGAAAATTATTTGATACAACAACTAAATAAACTTGAACTTTGGCAAATCCTAGAGATGAGTCAGAGGTTAGTGGTTTTTAATCTTTCCATTTGTAAGGGACACCTCTTATTCCCTTCACATAGCCAATGTTCTGAAAGATTCTGTCTGACAAACAAATTGTATTTATTAAGGATAATGCCTTCGTTTTCCCAGTCAGAGTTTCTTCTCAGTTTGTGACAGCCTGGAGCTGATTTAATTCCAGCCAAAGGTAAGGAAATCTGATGTGGGGTTAGCCTGTGCAACCACTTTCAGAAGATTTTATGATTTGGTATTTTAAATACTAAACATATCTCAAGGTCACCAATGACGACTTTCATAGCTAAGGGCCCTGGGACCCCAGGTTTCATACCATCCCCCTGTTTAACTTCAAGCTTGCTGTACAGAACCAAAGAGGCTGAATACTTTCCACCAAAAGGAGGATCTGGCACGGTTGGGTTCCACTTGCCGGGCATTCAAGGACAGTAATGGAGAAGTCATGGAGGCTTGTTCACTGCAAACCCATAATGTACACCCAGGCAATGTTGAGTCACTTCCCTGATATTAAAACCTTTAATCCTGACAACCTGATGAGGTGGATAATGTGTGCTGCTCCATTTTACAGATGAGTAAACTGAGGCACTAGGAGGTAAAGTGGCTTGTTGGCCAAGGCCAAGCTTGCACAGCTACCCTGGCAGAGCTGAGATTTTCATCCAGGCAGTCTAACTCCAAACCCCCTACTCTTAACCCTCTTCTATACTCCAGTCTTGTGAGAAACCCACAACCTCTGTGCCTAAACTGAACAGGAGAGAGATTCCTTGGGCTAATGACCATAACTGTTCACAAATACAGTTTGGTGGGTTTATTGAAAAGCACAGCATCTAAGGACATGGAGAACAAGGAGAACCCCTCCCAGCTCCAGAAAGGGCAGACAAGCCATTTCTCTCTTCCTGCAAAAACATTTAAAACAATCCTTTAGTCCCTGAAATGTTTTTTTCTGTTTTCCTAAAGAGGTTTGACAAAGAAACAAAAAATTCTGTCTTCTTTCCCTTGCAGTCTTTAGACTTTTCCTTAAAGAGAGTGGATTCACTCTGCAGTGTACAGGGAGCACTGTATTTCTCAGATTTCCTTCAGTGTACTGGACCAGAGATCAACTCCCCAACCTTTTGCGCAAATCCCTTGCATAGCCTGTCATTCTCTATCTTTTGCTTATTGTGCACACAGGGATGTTGTGAGTTTTGAAGATGGTATAGATATCTGAGTGCTGTGCCAAGTGTATTTCAGAGACATCTACTCATCTCTTGGCTGAGAGGATACCAGGGTCTTACCACATCTGAGAGCTTAGTTCATTGCAGTCACTTTAGAGGGTATCTGAAGAAAAAGCACTGCGTCTAGAAGTATCAAAGATGGGTTCATGTGTGTGCTGACCAGAGGAGGCAGTGGAGAATCATATGCCTGATGCCTGGACTCAGCTGCTTCCATGGAAAGATCTGGATAGAGGTAATGCCTGCCGAAGGCCAGGCTGGTCTGCACAGCACAAGACTAGGGTACGTTAGATCCCTTTCCCCCAAAGTTCTGATATTTGCCTATTGTCTTGGAGATCTTGGCACAAAGCAAGATCATAACTTACATCTCTGCAAGTTCTTTTATATGTAGGTCCTCCCCACAAGATTTTATTCGATTTTCATATTTTTAAATCAAGAGAAGAGTCATAGAAATGGGGTTGAGAAATATAAGAAATTTCATGAGAAACAACTAATACATCGCCATACATTCTATCAGTTTCATTGTGGTCAAAAGCAGGTGTTTCCACACTGTGAATAAGTAGTTTGCATTTTCAAAGTTAACAAATTGGATCAACAACAAAGAAAAGAAACCAACCATAGACAGCCCACCAGCGGATTGTTTACCAAAGAAGATGAAGCTCATGGCGATGGTTTGCAAACACCACCAGACTAGCTTGTGTAAATTCCCTTCGTTTAGTCATCGTTCTTCAGCCTGTCACAGATACTGAAGGGAAATGCAGAAACAGGAAATTACAGACTATTTTAAACAGCATGTTTTATTAAAGTCACTTGCTGATGCACTTTATGGCAGGATGCGAGATTCAAGTGTTCATAACTTACATCTTTGCAAGTGCTTTTCCTAAGTGAGTTCTCCCAGCTCAAATATGGCAGGTACCCAAGGCTGGGAAATAATCTCCAAACTAGTAACTCTTTCACCCCAGGTCGTGTAGCTATATCACATAGAATTGAGACATTTTAGCCATGTCAAGATAATATACCTTGCTTAGGCACTATAGCTAAGAAAGCAACAGAGAGGCATCTTGTAGTAACTTAAAAGATCCTTAATGCATTTATTTTAAACCACAAAATCAAAATACAGCAATCTTAAAATGAATCACTATAAACCATACATTGTCTCTTCTTTTATTATTTAAATACTGATATCATTCTTCTCTTCATGGGACAGTTCTGCACCTAGTTTAAACCATCATTACTAATGCCATGCTGAATGCTTGTCTCTGAAAAAATCTAGTAAAATTGGCAGGGATGTGATAACCTTAACTACAAATGAAATAACTTCAAATTTAAGGGGCTGTCAGAAAAATGGAATTTCACAACTAATTATTTCCAAAAAAGTCTCCTGCTCACCATTTGTTAGAAGGATATAAAAACCTAGCTGCATCACATAGGAATCCTTGTATCCTTGTCTTATATTTGTTGCGAAGTTGATGTCTCTTAATGGTCATGTCTTCTACAAGTTGTCCTCTGCTCTGCTCCTGATACACAGAAAGGAAGTCACCAAGTGGAGCTGTAATACAAGTTCATAACTGGAGGGGTGGGTAGCCATGTCTTGATGGAGTTAACTATGAGCTCTAAAAATAAATACTTTCATTCCCTTGCTTCACCATTTAACAAAGAAGCATGTAAAATGTTCTAAATTTCTGTTGTCTTAATAAAAGGTCACGCCAAAGATGCTTTCCCCTAATTTTCAATTCATTGCCAGGTAGTGGCATCTGCTGGTTTTGAATTTTTCTGTCTTCCTCCCATGTCCCCTGTCCCTGCAATCCTGTCCCTAGGACCCCTGCAAAGTGAAATGTAGAATAATAGGATTTTGAGTGGAAAGATGATGATGAGACTTTTGCCCTTTGAAAATCCCTTTGCCAGACCACCTTCTATAATCTGCTGTTTTTAGAAAGGAAGGACCAGAGACAAAGGTTAATGATTTCATTAATGATATGCACCCAGATGCCTAGGGGAATAGCAATTAAAGGCACTCTTGGGGAGCAAGGCAACTTTCTTAAATGAAGATTTCCCCTCATTTATCTTTTAATAGTCTTGATTCTGTCATATCAGGTTTTCCTTAAAGCAGAGCACAGCAATGAGAGAAGGTGCAGCTTCCAGGCGCGTAGATACCAGTGTGGGTGGAGGATGTCTTAGCTTTTCCAAGTTGCTCGAGATAAAACTATAGAATCCAGTTAAGAGATATAACTTACTATGAAGGGTGTCCTGGCCACTCTAGGAAAATCTAATGGAATATCTCATGCATAAAAGACAATGCTGGGTGCATGGGAGGTGAACACAGGAAGTCCTAGCACTCTCGCCTACTAACAAGAGAATTTTTGTGGTTTGGATGGGTGTTTAGGAATTAGTGTTTGGTGAAGAAATTTTTTTTTGCAATGCTAGAAATATCCTGGAAACAAAAACTTGATGACTAAAAAGAACAGATTTTTATGCTGCTGGATTCAAAGGCATCACTTATCCTACAGAGAAGTGATTCTAGTGGGTTCTACCGAACAGGTGCAGGCGCTCACAGCTCAGGTGAGTGCTGCTGAAAATCACCAACTTTGTCATTTTACAGCTTTGGCCTTCAAGAAAAACACTATCTAGTAATGCTGGGGCTTTTAAAAAGCAGAAGGATAAGTCCTTTCGTTCATATTTAAATCTCCATGAGATATTACACTCATAATAAGAATGCTACATTTGACAAATTAATTAGTTTTTAACTAGCTTTCCCCTTTATCAAATATTAGCTCCTAAGAACATTAATATGGAATTGTATGGAATGCTACTAGCAATAATCTGTAGCTGTTATAACTGTTTACATATGGGTCATCTTCACAGTTTGACAGTTCATAATGCAATCAGCTAAGATTCAGTATTTATGGCTTCGTGTTATACAATTTTTTTCAGAGACACTCCAGAAAGGAAAATCTTTACATTCTTTCAGACATAACCTTATTGATCACCACATCATCTATTAACATTGTGCTTCTTAATCAATAGAAACTTAAACTTACGAACTAGGATCATTCTGAAACACCTGTCAGATTGGCATTTTAAAATACTCTTTAATTTAGAAAACTCCTGTGTGGCCACTATCCACTACAGTTTCTAGATGTTTTGAGTTTTTTAAAGGAGAGAGAATAATGGAAAAGAGAAACATAGCCAATAGCCATTAAAATTTAAAAAACTTAATGAATTTTTATCATCTTAATAAATATATATCAAGAAAACCTCACTTTATTACAACACATTCATATACAAGCATCTATTAGCTAAGTTTTGAACATCAAATGTTTATCAAATATTGAAAATAAAGGACAAAACATTACTAGACTATTTAACTATAACACAAGAAAATGTTTTAAAAATTGGTCTTTGTGGACAATTGTCCAAATGATCCTACTCATACACTGTATGAATGAGACCTATATTTAATATTAATAGCAATAATAAAAAAAGCTTTATCTTGGAGAAACTGGGAGGGCTTACTTATTTCCTCCGTTTGGCATTTGGTTTCTGTGAAGTATTATTTGAACAGGCCCAAGTCAATTAGTAAACTTGGAAACTGGAATACAGTTTAGCAGGAAGAGTTGGCTGGAGTGGAAGGAAGGATGGTAGGAGGGCCACTCTGAACACTTTTCAAATGTACAAGTTAAAGATATTATTTGGAAAATGTAGACCAAATACATAGTAACTATTATAGATTAAGTCCCATTTCTCCAAAATAACTTTCAAAAACCTAAAGTCTTTACATTCTTTAAGATAAACCTTATTGATCACCACATCATTTATTAACATTGTGCTTCTTAATCAACAGCAAAGTTCATATATAAAAACCCACATGCTTTTATAATCTAAACAAGTGAAATGATGCAAAACAGAGAAAAGTATAATGCATGCCACTGGTTCGTGAACTTCATTGGACAAGAAAACAAAACAAAACAACCCAAAACCCAGAAAACCCCAACCCCAGCAACACACAGTTGCCATAGAAAAGCTCGAGCAGCCCGTGCTGCTTTCTAACAGCTCTCTCTCTCATTTCCTCCATCCCTATTGAAAAAACGGCGAATCCAAAAGCAATTGGGCATCAAAAATAAAGAATAGAGATGTCGAATCAAAAGCTGAACACAATAGTTCAAAGTTAACAGTTTCCAAACCATATTGATCCACCCTGTGGTTTTTTTTTTTTTTTTTTTTTTGTCCTGTTTGTTAAATCCCTGCTGTAACTCTGATTTATCCTTAATTTTCACATTGGCAAAAATTAAGATAAAAGTAAGGCACCAAAAATCGCCCTGTATAACACCTCTCTAAAAGCCTCATCACCCATCACAGGCAAGCCAGAAACTTGCAGGGAATACCCTCTCTGTGTAAGACTGTTGATTGCCGCCCCTAGACAGGTGTGTTTCATTATGTTACATCCTATTTTCATCTGTCACACAAGACTGTTAGGTACAAATACTTAACAGCACCATTAAGCCATTTCATCTAGCTCCCTGTCTTTAGTCTTTTATTTAAAAAAAATATTGTATCATATAGAAGAAGCAGGTATCTTTGCTGGTTATATTGATTTGCTTACCAAATAACTCCCTAATTAACTGGCAAACATGTAGAAATTTCTTAGCTAGTGACAGGCTCCTTGGGGGGCAATGGAAATATTGCAAGGGCACATTGTCCCCCAATCTCATCTACTGATCTTTTCCGTAAGAAAACTATGATATACTTTTAAGCATTAAGTCAATCGTTTCCTTGGTAAAAATCACCACATTTATAAGAAGCTCGCTGATGCCTGCTATACAGATGTTTTACGCAATCTGCTCTCCAGGCATTAAAACGACATGGCATGTTCATGGCATAATTTTATCTGTTGTACAAAACTACAAAATCCATTCAAAATAAAATTTACGAGAGCTAACTGATCATGCTGTGCATGCTTCAAAGTTCGGTGAGAAGATGGCTCATATTTTACTTCCTTTGCTGCAGCACAGTTTGTTACTTGGTGGTGAAGCCTCCTTTTTCCGTAAGGACTTTTTCCAAGATTCATTTACATTGTTTCTTTCATTATATCCGGTCTCAAAATAATCATAAAATTGGCCTTTGCACTCAAAAGCAAGGTCATTTCCCACAGGTTCGTGGCTGAGGGGGCCACCATCTCTGTTGGTGTCATCATTTGCTTTCTCATCATTTAATTTGGCCTTTTCCTGAACACCAAGTGATCTGACATTAGTGACAAAGATTTCATTGGCAGGTATCTGGCCATCACTCTTGTAAATAGATGCACTACCTACATCAAAATCCACCTGGCGGGAACAACTCGGTAAAGGCAAAGGGGGAGAGGAAGAGGAAGATGAGGAGGAAGAAGAGGCGGAGGGAGAGGAGGCAGCAGTGGAGGCACTTCCAACATTAGCATTGACAGAAAGGGGTAAATTTAGGTAGTGGCCACCACATTCTTGGTAAAAGCAGCAGGCATGAAACTTTTCACATTCCTCTTTGGCCATCCGTGGTCGTTTTCGGTAAGGGCAGTCTTGAGCCATAAACCACTCTTGGGCAGAGGTGCCATTGAAAGAGCAGGCAGGGAAGCACCAGTTATTCTGCATGATAATTTCTCCATGGATCCTTTTCATCAAATTGTTTATAAGGACAGATCTTCGGAGGTACACTTCAGGATCATCGATAAACTTTAGCTTTTCTAAGGACATATAAAGGATGTGGGCTCGTTCCTCAAAAATTGAGATGGTCTACAAACCAAAAAAAAAAAAAAGAAAAAAACAAACAGAAAAAGGAAGAGAGAAAGCTTAGAAAATGGACTATATGAAAACATCATCATAGCATACTTCTTTCTTGGCACTGTCTGGGTCTGGGCATGTTGTGGTCTTGTTCCGCAGGGTTAATTTAGAGAGGCTGTCCCCCATTCTGCTGATATTCCCTTTCCTCACTTGGCTGGAGCACCCACCCACTTCCTGACTCACTGGTGTGGTCAAGCACTAGGGAATCGAGCCACAGTGCAGGCCCCAGGAGGGACAGTTCAGGTGGTTTGATCTATTATGGCCCAATAAGGAAGATGCTGAAACACAAAACTAATCTAAGCTATTAGAAGTCAGGAGAGGAGGTACTTTCAGAGTTGGGGTGAGCGGGGCGAGGGGTAGTGTTAGAAGCCGGCAGAAGGAAGATTCTGGTTGCTAGTTATGTTTTGGTTCTCGACCTGGATGTTAGTTACATGACCTCATGAAATTCATCAAGCTGTACTGTGATACCTGTACTTTTTTATGTGTGTCTATACAAATACACACACACAGACACATAACTCATATATTGTACATCAATACATGTTTTTAAAATGATGCCAAAATGCAAGTCATAATGAATATACTTCAAACCCTGGTCTAGCCAAGAAGGAGCATGAGATTTGGCTTTTAATGCTGTCCCTCTTTTAATCCTTTGGGTTTCATACTTGCAATTATCCTTGCTTGATAAGAGGACACACTAATGAATGAGGCTCAGACCCTGACAGAATGTGTCAGTTGAAGGACCAAAGTAGGCTTCCTTGTGGAGCTGAGTGGGAGACGAGATGCCGAGAGGAAATGAGAGGGCTCACTCCTGAGCTGTGTGACACTGTCACTATGCGATGGTTGGTGCAAATCCAGTAGCAACTGGGAAACTGCTACAACCACAACACAGAAACTAAAAAGGAAATAAACTGCTTGTGTCCTGGGGACCAGTTATTCCAGGCCATCAAAAAAGCAAACTGGCACCATAACCTGAGGAGCTGTGAACTAAACCAGCCCATACTGACCAAAGGCAGGGACTACACATGCAGGGAAAAGCCCAGTACCTACCAATGCATTCTGCTGTCTTTTCATGAGCAAGGTAAAAGCAACATCTAAAGGATGAGGTGGCAGAGGGGGAAGGCAAGAGGAGACAGAGAGGAAGAAGAATTGAAAATCCTCTCTGCATTTCAGACAACTATGGTCTGTGCTTATACCTGCCTTGATTAAATCAGCAGATAGTTATTGAAGGAAGGTAACTCTAAAGAAAAATGAACTGATATTTCAAAAGCTTAGATGCCCAGATTCATAATTCTATGCAATTTCCCCATCTTGTTTTTTTTTTTAACTATACCTACAAAAAAGTTAGCTTTGGTCTTTTCCTGGAAATGAAGTCCATGTTTCAACAAACTTATATGTAACCCATGTCCAGTGAAGTGCATATTTCTACTTGTATACACACATTCAAGGATGATGAGTCTACCCATAAGAGGTCAGGAAAAGCCCTGTGTAACCACCCCCATGTGGACACACAGGGAAGTAGCATTGGCTGCAGGAGCCAGAACTCAGACTGGGGAGAACATGACAGGAAAGAACGAGCGCATTCCCCACACACAAAAGTGTGGAAGAACCATAACCCAAAACACAGTCTGAGAAATATTAAATCATACGTTAAAAAAAATTCCTTGGATTACATAATTTTGACATTTCTGGGTAGAATAGCTCTTGCCAGCTTTTTCTTCAAGTACTTGTGAAAAATAACACAGGACCCAAAAAAGCGACAACGATTAATGAGGCTCCACTGAGAAGTGGCTCATTTTCATTGCTTGGGTGAAACAATTTAATTCCTGGAAGTGGATCAAGCAACTGTTACTAAGTATCTTAAACTCTTAATAAAAATAATGACTATTAAAAAAACATACTTTATGGCTACAGCTGCTGAGTGGTGGGTGAAAATCCTCTTCTTCCACATACTTCCTCTTAAAGTATGTGATCTTGGATGTTGTTATAGGATTTGAAATTCCCCTGTAATGTGATCCTGTGGTAATAAATCAGATATGACAAATGACATGCGGTTTGCCAGAGGTTCTCCAAACAAAATACTTTCGTTTCCTTTCCTTCTAGAGGATAACTTGGCTACATATTTGTCTGTACATGTGGTGATTAAAAATAAACATTTGTCTTAATAGTTGCTATCATATGGAATCCTGTGACCCAGGCTAGGAAAAGATTTCTAGGCAATTATAGAGGAAAATCACATATTTTAGCATTTAATAAATATGCAGAATCTTAATTCTATGCAAAAGGAAACTGCAACATTCATAAAGGGGAGGAGTGTAATTTCTCTAAAATATATTAGTATTTATTTAAATTGTTTAATTAAATTCATGACAACATAGCACCACTGTTAAAGATGTATACATCTTTAACTGTAACCACTGATAACCAAACAACTTTGAAATCTTATTGGCTTTAGGTTAGTGAACAAATGGTTATCTGCACATTGGGATTATAGCATTCCTTTTTTTCAAAATACAAAATTCAAATTTTTAAAATTTGAGTTAAAATTTTGGGTAACTAATGTCCTTTTCACTCTCCAAAATGTAGTATGCCAACCATGAAGACCACAGTTTTTAATCTTTTTTAGCAAAACAGACTTCATTGAGTACTTGTTTTATATTTTAGTTTCTTTTAAAAATAGCTAATACTGCAAAAAAATCCAAAGGAACTTAAACTATAAGAAGAAAGAATCAGGAAGAACATACTTCTATTTTCTTGGCTTTAAATTTTTTTCCTACAATCCTAAAACCAATTGTGTGCTTTACCCATTTATGCCATAGGTTGCAAATTTTTTTGTGTTTGAAAAGTCAGACCTTGGTGATGACCTTGAGCAGTAGGATATAAATAACTTCCACAAGCTTAGCGTTCCAATAATGGAACACTGGGCATAAATGGGTTAACAAAGAAAAGAAGCTCATAGCTGCTGGCCCAAAGTGCAGATTCCTTTATATCTCATGGGATAAAGGTGTCATTGTTGAGCCCACCAGAGCTTTCATAGTTGTGAGAGAACCATACAGTTCCACAGGGTAGAAAACCAAAACCCAAACTCAGAGTTTCAATATCTGGTTTGGCCCTCTTAAAAATACAGACACATGACTTATATTCAAAAAGCAGCATGGGTAGACACAGGTTTGAATGCAATTTAAATATCACCTCTGGTCCTCTCTCTGGAGCTCTGGACTCACTTATGAGAGGCGCACAGGCAGCCCGGGAAGTCCCTGGAGCTTTAGCTCTCCTGGCTCAGAGGGGCACCCCAGACACCACCTCCTGTCCACCAGGCTGGCTGCAAAGGGCAGCGAGGGGTGGGGGGGATGGGCGCAGGTCAAGGGCAATACCTGCCAGTGGGGGACCAGCTCCCCGGTCTCCCTGCAAAGGAGCTTGTGCTGGCCCTGGGGGGCTTGGGCCTCCGTAGCTGTCAGCCTCCCATAGTGTTTGGTACCCAGCAATTTCAGCAGCTCCTTCCGAGACAATGGGCTCGCAGAATCTATTCATGGACAGAACCAGAGTCATCTCTGACAGCCTCAGATCTGAAAAGAAAAAAAAAAAAAACAAGAATGAAGAAAACAGCCCTAATCAAGAGCAAGCCAAGGGACGGCCTTGGCATCTTCATTTCTTTGCTTTGGGAAACTTTTACTTCTCGGCCCTCCCCTTTACCCTGAAACATTTTATTATTTTTTCAAAGAAAACCTCAGCAAACTCTCTAGCTGCTATTAGCTCAGCCTCTGTGTTCAGCAATCTGCATTTCATGGGCGGATCTTTAAAACCCCATTTCTTATTGTTCTCAGATTCCCTTCAGCCCTCTTCTAGACAGCTGCTTTGCCTCCTAAACACATTTTCCTCCTGACCTTCCAAAGAAAATGTACTGCTAAGAAGCCAAAACCCTTGCGCTTCCTTTCTATTAATAAGGCAAAATCAATTTTCTAGTCAATCCCCCGGGAGTCTCCTTTGATGAAATCCACTAATCAATCAAAAGAAAAGGGCAGGGGAAGCAGAAATATCCACCGTAATTCCAACTGATGCTCTGAGGTTCAGTCTGTTCCGCTGCCCCCTGCACCCTCCTCCTCTCGTTTCCGCAGGCCAGTTCCTCTACAACATGCTGGGGCTCCCTCCACTTTCTTCTCCCAAAGCAAAGCAGACAGAGAGACACTTGGTAGTTGTTTCCACCAGCCCTGATCGGCCTGAACTGGATCTGCCTCCAGTCAAAACACTGCGAGATGAAGACAGAAAATTGGCTCCAGTTTCAAGCCGTGAGTTGCAGTCCCACAGGAGCCAAGCACAACATCAACGGAGCAGGCAGAATATTAAACAGGAGCCAGGCTCTGGGGCCAGAGGCAGCCAACAACTCTTTACACTGCAAAGCCCAGACACAGAGCAGGAACTTTCCAAGAGGCAACACATCACTGCCCTTCTCTCCAGTTCACGCCCTTCTCCCTTGGGCCTGCAGGGAGATGGGAGCTTCTCTGCTCTGTGAGGCTTCCTGGGCCCCTCGATAGCTCAGGCAGTGAGGCCGCTTTCATGGGGGCTCTGTGTCTTCACTTGGCCCTTTGCAGGTCTCGAGGTAGGGTCAAGAGTAAGTTCAAGGGAGAGGAGAGTCTGATATGAAGGTAAAAAGACCTAGCAGCCATAGACCAGTGGTGACAGTAGCGCAACCTCAGTGCCTCCTTAACTGCCAATCCCTTTAGGAGACTCAAGCCCCCACTATCTCATTCTGTGGTTTCAAGAACTGTCACACAAGTGACGTCAGGCTTTCTGAAGATTGATTGTCTTTCAAACATAAACTAAGGGCCCAGTTCTTGCTTTCTTTTCCAAATTATACAGCTTGTAATGTTTCTGGGAAAGAGTGAATCTACCATTGTCTCGTGGGAGACTATTATTACCTACATGCTATAACAAGGGTCCACTTCCAAGGAAAAAGAGGAAAAACACCAGGGTAAGGCGAAATAGCATCATTAAAGTGACAATGTCCTTCTGGCTAAAAGAGCAGCTCTTGGCAGCAATGACTCTACCTTTCACCCAGTCTTCTCTCTGAGGTCTCAAATTCTGTCCCAACCACACTGAATAATGAAGCAAGATCTTTTGACAGACAGGGAAGGTGTACAGGTCAGTGGAGAGAATTAGGACTCAGCTGGTTTGGGCTGCTACAACACCTCCCCGTTCTCTTTTAAGATGCCCTCCAAAGAGACATCAGTACGGACTTATTAGTAAACCTTAAAACAAGTGGGCAAAAGAAAGGTTCGATTAAATCTTTACAAAGAAACGATGGGACATGTCATTTATTTTTCTCTTTGAGTCATCAACAAAGAAATTTAGCCTACATTGATTTAACAAATTAAGTCCTTCTGTCTATCATTTCTCAAACTCCTCATCCAAGTAGGGTATCAAACTTCATGATGATTTATTCCCTGGAAGACTCTCATGAAATTGTCCAGTTTCTTCACCTATTCTAAGAGACAATCATATCAGGAAATACTATTGCCAAGAGCACATGAATTACAGCTTTTCAACAGTCAGCAGCCCTTTCTTATTGAGAGAATCAACATTTTCTAGTTTGAAGTTTACACTCACTTTTGTGTTAGATCATGGGAATAAGATGCAAGCCTTTTGCCTATGCAGACTTTTATTTCATGTAAACAAAAGCAGGTTGTCAAACTCATGCCCCTTAAGAAAGAAAAACATTTGCAGGCTCCTGGCAGCAATTACTTTTGTTTAACAGGACATTATATGGGCCCTGTGCTGTTTTATGTTTGTCAGAGTTTGTTTATATTTTAATAACTTTTTGGTAGTACCTTTTTTGGTTGTGAGGAATTTCAGCGTTTCTATTTGTTAGCATTATTTCCAGCATATCCTATTATGCACGTGAACTTGAAACATGGCATAACAGTATTTATCTTGGCTATTATTTTGTTCACAATATCTAATTTTACTAAGTTTTTCTTTTTTAAATTGAGAACTGTTACACACAAAACCCTAAACTAGAGAGGCTGAGTTCTGCAAGTGATTTATGTAAATCTGAATAAAACATGAATGAGTTGGGATTATTTGGGAGCGGGGAGGAGATTTTGCAATTGAGTCTTCCTAGTCTATTTAAAACTTACACTGGATGTTAACAAATTAAGAAGGCAAGTTGAATGTTCACGAAAAATTGGACAGGGCAGCGTTAAGCACAAATGCTTAACGTGAATCTTTCTTCGTATTATATGTAGAGATCTAAACTGTCATAATTCTCTGTCTGATAAGATTTATAATTCTGCTACTGACGTCAGCAATTCAAGTCCACAAATTCGTGTTCTATTAATATTAAATAAAGAAAAGGATATACATTATGGCAAAATTTATTTTCTAAGATCAGAGGTGATGGATTCAACAGGAGGGTGTTAGAGTGTGTTTTGTCTATGCATGGGTTTAAAAGATAAGAAAAAAAAAAGCCCTAACCCTTCATCCTCAGGCTCCTGAATGTCTGTTTTGACACCCAGGTGGATGTAGTGGAATGACACTTCCAGCATCCCCAGAAGACTGAGGGCTAGAATGCCAAGCTTTTCCAGCAAATGTTCGTAGTAAAGTTACCAGGCATTTCTATACAATTTGTTTTTTTCCAGATGAGTTGGGCTTGTTCTTTCCTAGAAGCAATTATGATGCTAATAGGAGTGGCTGGCACACAAAACAGGGTAGCTATGAATTCAGCGGCACCTTGAATCTAACAAGGGGCTCCAGGTCATTCTTTGCTCACTTCTTCTTCCATCTGTCATTGAAAATTGGAGAGCATTTGATTAAGATCATTATAGCAGTTAGCAGTCTGATTCCAGCACTGGAAAGCAGGGAAGTAAAGGGCTATTTCCACCCCCGATCGATGCTGCCAGTTTTAAATGGCATCAAGCCCCTGACCTCCACATTGTCCCAAAATGATCTCAATAGCTTGTCCGGCTCCTGGTGGTGGTAGTGGAAGGGACTGGATGGGCGGAACAAAATTCTTCAACCCTTCTAAACAAACAGATGTCGCTTTTCTGCCGTTCCTGCAGTACACCTGTCTGCCCTGGGAAGTACATTTCTCAGCTGCAGCCCCGCGAGGCCAAGAGCTTGAAGCTGGGTCCTGTGGTTGGGGCTGCAGGTGCTGGGCCTAAAGAGCACGAAGGGGTGCTCCGATGCCCGAGCCCTGGTGCCCAAGGTGTGTGTGTGTGTGGCGGTTGCGGGGGTGGGGTCCGAGGTTTGGAGGGCCGACCTCTTGAAGGCGGGCGGCAGCCACCAACCACATCCTGGCTCCCGCACAGACACACCCCCGGGGTGTCGGTGCCGCAGCCCTCAGCCCCTCCCCGGGTAGCCAGCAGCGCCCGGTCGGCCGCTGGCCGCAGGAGAAAGTAAACAACACCCCAAGTGTCCGGGAACAAAGGCAAGTTGTCTTTCTACGGTGCCGCAGCCGTGTGCCTCTTCTGAAGAATAAGAGCTATTATTATTCTTTATGTCTTATCCTTTTTTTTTTTTAAAAAAAAAACCAAGTTTCCTTCTAAGGGAAATAAACACCAAAGGTAGGATTCCAAGGAAATGACTCACAGCGGCTGGCAGGGCTCTGGCGGGGCTGGCCCGGGCCCCCGCGCTCCAGCCCGCAGCAGATGTCGGCCCGGCCTTCCCTCCCTCCCTTGCCGGCCAAACCCGCTGGAAGCCCGCGGTTGCGGGAGCGCCCTGCGCCCGTGGGACCTGGCGGCGAGGACGCCTATTCCCTGCTTCTGCGACCACAGCTGGGCACTCGGAAAGTTGCTAGGGCCGAAGAGGCGGGAGGGGAGGAAGGGAAGCGAGAGGCGGAGGCGTGGACCAGGCGGGCAGCAGCCTCAGCCCGCCGAGGAGGTGAGCTGAGGACAGAGGAGCCGCCGCCGCCCGCAGCGCAGCTCTGCTGCCTGGGAGGAGGGTGCGGGGGCGGAGGTGGCGGGGGACAGAAGGTGTCAGCTACTGCATCAATTCCTTTTTCTTGCAAACGCGCGCTCCTGACATCCACAATCCCTCTCTCCCCACCTGCCAAGCGCCGCGGCATCCGGACCTGGGGGCACCCCTCCTACTTAACCCCTTCCCCTACGATGAGGGACTAAGCGGCCACGGAGGACCATGAGGTCTCACCAGAGCTTCTGACCCCACCCGCCCCTGGAGTTGTCTCGGTGCGCGCGGGTGGCAGCCCGAGCAGCCCTAGAGGAGGCGGCGGTTCCCGCCCTGGTGAAGGCGCCGCGGCGCACGCTAGCCCAGGGAAAAGCCCGCGCCGCCTCCGCGCCCAGCTGTGCCTTGGCCCCCACGCCGCCCCGACTCCGCTCCGGCCGCTGCGAGTCCACTCGGTGACCTCGGCACAGCCCTGGTGCCAAGAGGGCGCGCGGGAGGCCGCGTGGGTGCCCGTCTGCGAGGGCAGGAGCCCCGGGGGGCCCTCGCCCTCCACCCTGCCCGGCCCTCCCGCCCCCGCGGCCCGCGCCCAGCCCGGCTCTTACCGCGGGGTCAGCGGGGAGGCGGCGGCCGCAGCGCTTGAGCTGCTGCTGGTCCGCTCTGGGCTCGGCGCCAGCCCGGCCGCCGGTGCACACTCGCGGGTCCCGGCCCGGCCGCCCGCTCGGCGGTGACTGCGGGTGCGCGGCGGGCAAGGGTCCCGGCAGGTCCCGCCGCCGCGACTGGGGCGCTGCGCCGCCGTCGCTGCAGACGGTTATGGTAATGAGCGGCTCTGTCTAGCGAGGAGCGTGTGAAACCCGTCAATCCTGTTTGCCATTTCCCCGTGGATTTCCGAGGAGAGGTTCTGCAGGATGCCCCCAGGGTGAGAGAGGGAACATGACAAGCGCGCCCGCTCTCCCTCCCTCCCTCTGCTCAGGCCGCCGCCGCCGCTCCTCAGGCTGCACACGGGGCGCCTTTCCCGCACCCCCACCCCAGCCCGCCCCCTGCCTCCTTCCCTGCTTCCCGCCCTCCCTCCTCCTTTTCCTCCCCTCCCCTCCCGGTGCCCGGGGACACGCGGGCCCAGCTCCAGCCCGCAGCCCAGACCCCACGCGCTCTCGGGCTCCCGCCCTAGCCCTGGGGGCTTGGCTCCAGCCGAATAATGTATTCACTCTGGAACCTTCCGAGATATCTTGTCTTTTTAAATTTGGTTTAGTTTTGTTGTTGTTGTGTGTGCGTGTGATTAAAAAAAAAATCTGTGCCTTTCCCACCCTTTGCAAAAGACTTTCTTCTCCTTTGCCACAGCAAACGGAGATGAGAAACAGATGTCTTTGCAGGACCAAACAGTTATTCTCCCTCGCCGCCCGCCCCCGCCCGTTTCCCTCCTGAGCTGCGTACGTATTAAAAAAAAAAAAAAAAGCAACCTTGGTCCTGCTGCAACTTGAATTGGCAACCCTTTCTGGGTGGGGAGCCTCCAGGGAAAACCTCCAGGAAATAAAAAGTAATACAAGAGATTGTCCTTGCTCAAGAGAATGTAATTTAAGCCTTGGAATCAGAATATTTTGCAAATAGTAATTTTCTCCTATAGTGGCCTCAGAGTTTATTTTTTAAAATCATTAATTCATAACTTCTGTCTAGGGACCCCTCCATAGTCGAGATGGGTCATTTCAGGTGTAATGAAGGCAGAGGCTTGGAAGGCATAGACCTAATAAAATCGGGAGAAGGCACCTGCACAAAAGTGTTACAAAGACTATAATGTTTGTTTACTGCCACTATACCAGATGTGCTAAATATAACACTTCTTTAAAACAGTGATCCTCCGACTGTGAAAAACCAGACCTCTGGCTGCCTGGCTCCCTAGGAATCAAGAAGACGCACAGACTGAAAATCAAGGGAGGAAGGAACAAGATCAAGGATGAGGATTAGCATCTGCAAATTGAACTCTATCTAATTTGCATGTTTATTTCTTAGAATTGTAATTAAATTTGTGTAATAAATGTTTTCCATTTCATTTGTACACTTAAAACTTGGGTGACTGACATGCAGTTAAGTGAATTTCCTTTTTTTAAAAGCAAATGTAGATTATTCAATAAAGCAGCAAACCAATATTAAACATAATTAGAACTAATTTGTTTTGAAGGTGTTTTTGTTGAACTTTGTACATTAAAGACTCTCAGAGGTTTTAAGGGTATTAGGAAGCTGAGAGATGGCAATTATGCTTAAAACAGATGAACCCAACAGCCTACCAAGAGCATTATTTCATTTTTTCCAAAAGACATTCCAGGGTTGCATGCCTAAAATTGGGAATTGGGCATCCATCTTGGCTTTATTCTGAACCATATTAAATTGCATTGGCTCATGCATGATGTGGGCCATTATGATGATAATTTAAGAATTGTAAAGATGCCATTTTGTGCAGTCAATGGAAGTTGCATGTCCAGGTTAAGAGTAGAGTATAATTTTCATCTGGGTGGGAGAGGAGGGTTAGGAAAGGCACAAGGGCATTTAAAGCAGTGCAAGTACGTAGAAATCCAAATTTCCAAATAATCTAAAACTGGTTATTGTCAAACTCAAAAGAACTAAATGTGAGGGTTTGGAGGCATGGCTTATTATGGTTTTTATCTCCCTATATTAAAGTTTTATGGCATTTAAAGGACTATGGGTAAATCCCCATGTACACTTGGCTGTGTGAAAATACATAAAATCAAAAGGAGCAAATTAAGCATAAAATTGAGAAATAACATGAGACTAAGTTATCAGCATGGGTGCACTGGCATCTTTGGAGCTTTGGCTCGGAGAAATGAGCCTTCTGGGAAACTGGCATTGCCCTTGGGTGGAGAAGACTCTTGGCTTTAATGTTACAACAAAATGGTATCACAAGTATCAAATCATTGTACTTCACAGCATCCTTGCAGTTCTGAGTATGAACTAGACCCTGTCCTCATCAGATACATTAGGTTAGCATGTTTTACTGACAGCTTTCCCTGCCCTACCTTTAATCCTAAGCTTAATGTTTTTTGAGATTCAATACCCAACTGTTGACAACATGAACCTGTGTCTACAAGTACAAGAGGCAGACAAATGTCTATGGAATGAGAAACCTCATTACAAATTTAAGGTGACTATGTGGTAGCTATGGCATGAAAAAAGAACCAACTATAAATCAATAATGAAAAATTTGGAATGAGTAATTGTTATTTATAATGAGGTACAATATTTAATTGACAACTATGATGTCATCATTTTGGGGTGTGTGTGTGTGTGTATGTGTGTGTGTGTGTGAGAAGCTCCAAATAGAAGTTTGATTATAAAACTTATAATACTTTGAGCTGCAAATTTACTGAAGGCAGTGGTTGTTTTCCTTTGTTTAACAAAGAGACTTTCAGACTTAAAATTGCTGAAACCCATTTCACAAAACCTTTTTGTCATTTGTCTGATAGGGGGATTTCACAAGTAAAATTTGACTTATTCAGATTGTTGTGGACACAATACCCACTTGGATTAATTGAAAGTTAAAATTACTGGCTTAAAAAAATAGACCATTTTTGGCTGGGTACGGTGGCTCACGCCTATAATCCCAGCACTTTGGGAGGCCAAGGCGGGTGGATCACCTGAGGTCAGGAGTTTGAGACCAGCCTGACCAACACGGCGAAACCCCGCCTCTACTAAAAATACAAAAAATTAGCTGAGCATGGTGGCAGGCGCCTGTAATCCAGCTACTCAGGAGGCTGAGGCAGGAGAATAGCTTGAACCCAGGAGGCAGAGGTTGCAGTGAGCCAAGATCGCACCACTGCACTCCAGCCTGGGTGCAACAGAGCAAGAATCCATCAAAAAAACAAACAGCAACAATAAAAAAAAAAAAAACATTTTTTTAATGGCAAAAAGAAGCATCTGCACCCAATTCCTCTTCTATTCTCAAACCTTTTCCACTGAGGCTTTCTTATCCGATCACTCCATTGAAACTGTTCTGGTCAATGTCACCACTGACCTCCACGTTGTTAAATCCAAAGGCCATTTTGCATCTAACTTGACCCTTAAGCAGCATTTGACCCAGTTGCCCACTCCCTCCTCCTTTAAACGCCTTTATCTTGGCTCCTGGGACAACACATCCACCTGATTTGCCTCCTGCCTCACTGGTTGTTCCTCTCAGTCTCCTTTGCTGGTTCCCCCTCTTATCTAGGACCTCTGGATGTTGGGTTGCCTCAAGCTCAGTCCTTGCACCTTGTCTCTTCTCTACAGTCACTCTCTTGTGGATCTCATCTAGTCTCTTCCCTTCAAAACTCTCTATATTCTGATGACTCCCAAATTCATATCTGTAGCCAAGACTCTCTTCTGACTTCCAGACTCTGTGTAGATGCCTAATGGGTATCACAAGCTTTACAGACCCAAAACTCAACCCCTATTATCTCTGCTTTCCCAACCTATGCCACCTTTAATAGTCTCCTTCAATAAACAACAGTATTTTTCTACTTGCTCTGACAAAACTCCTTAGAGTCATCATTGATTTTTTTTACTTCATCTCCTTTATCTAATATATCAGAAAGTCCTTGAGAGGCTACCTTTAAATTTTTTCTTGACTCGGCCAGGCGCGGTTGCTCATGCCTGTAATCCCAGCACTTTGGGAGACCGAGGGGGGTGAATCACGAGGTCAGGAGATTGAGACCATCCTGGCTAACATCATGAAACCCCCTCTCTATTAAAAGTACAAAAAAAAAAGTAGTCAGGCATGGTGGCATGCACCCGTTGTCCCAGCTACTTGGGAGGCTGAGTCAGGAGAATCTCTTGAACCTGGGAGGCGGAAGTTGCAGTGAGCCAAGATCGCACCACTGCACTCCAGCATGGGTGACAGAGTGAGACTCCATCTCAAAAAAAAAAAAAAAAATTTCTTGACTCTGATCACTTCTCATTATCTCTACCACCACCATTCTGGTCCACGCTTTCATCATGATCTTCTGCCTAGGATATGACAATGGCCTCCTAACTGGTCTTCCTGCTTACATCTTTGGCCCTCTTTCTAGTTCAATCTCGGGTCAACAGCAATGGTGTCAATTTTTGCCAAGGCTCTTCCTAGAGCTCCCCATTCAAAATAAAAGCCATGTTCTTGTAATAGCCTGCAAAGACTAGAAGTCTCTCTTTATTTCTCTGATCTCACTCTGCCTCCAACAACTCCAGCCACTCTGGCCTCCTTTCTGTTCCTCTAACAGCCAGCTTTGCTGTCCTCAGGACATTTGCACTGGCTATTCCCTCTTCCTTTTGTGCTCTTTCCTCAGATAGCTGCACAGATACATGTCCACCTCTTCCACATCCCAGCTCAAGTATCATCTTTTTAATAAGCCCTGACCACTATGCTTGAAATTCTAACACTTCACCTTTATAGCCTGCTTGATTTTCATCCAGAGGATAAAATAAAGATCACCTTCTAATCTGTTATGCATGTGTTCAATGTATCACTTCTCTTCTTCCACTAGAAAGTAATGTCCATAAGGGGAGGGATTTTTGTCTTTTTTGTTAGCCCCCGTATCTTCAGCACCTAGCACAGTACAAGTACTTGGCATACTGAAAGCACTCAATAAATATATAATGATTGTTTGAACAACTGACTGACAGTTTCACGTATATACAGAACCCAAACAAGGCTAAAATAGTGCTAGTCTAATCTAGTGGATGTAGAATGGATAAACAGGCAGTTAGTTTTATTACCTCATTTGCCTCCCAGAATCCTCTGGCCTAGAGCTGCCATCTGCCCTGCAGCTTTCCAGGACCTGAAGATACTACCAAGATTCCCGGGACCCAGTGGTTTCATGCTGCCCTCCCTGCCTGAGAGTCCCAGTACTAGATTTTATCCATGTGGATGCTGGTGCTCTGGACCAGCCTGCCTTGCCCCCAACACAGATTTTCTTCATTGCCAAGATGCTTGTGCTAAGCTACAGTCTTATACAAGATAATAAAGTGTGTAAAATTGCTCTCCAGGAGCCTAGGATATCATTTCTTGGCATAGCTACCCTTTCAGAGTTCCTCCACTTTCTTTCTTATCCTCCTTCAAAACTCATTCAAAAATACTTCAATAATTAAGTGCATTTTACATGCAAGAATAGATCTAGGCACTGCAGGTGAAGTAGAGATTAATAAGACACTATTCCTAGACTTATGGATTGTCAATACAGTGAGTAGCATAAGGCAAGCATAGGCATGATGGCACTATTTAGTAAGTCGGGGCACAGCAGTGGCCATGGGAGTTCCACGATGAGACGATCACATCCAGCTGGGAAAGCCAGAAAGACGTAGTGAAGAAAGTAAAACCTGAAGTTGACCTTGAAGATAGGTAGCTCTCAATGGCTGGAAATGGGGAATGAGTGAAATGTGGAGGAAACAATTTGAGGAAAGGCACGTAGGCTGGAAAGCAAAGGGAATCTTTGAGAGGAGTGAGTGTTCCGGTTTTACTAGTGGGTACATGAAAGTAAAAGTGTATCATAATATAGTGTATCATAATATTGTGTATGATAATACAGTGTATATTACATAATACAGTGTATGATAATATATTATGCTATTAATATTGTATTACGAATATACATAATTCAGTGTATCATAATATACACTGAAAAGCAAGATGAGTTTGATCTGAATTTAATAAGCAATGGGAAACATTACAGTTTTCAAACTGGAGAATGATATGATTGAAGCTAAGCTTTAGGAAGAGTAACGTGCAGTGGGGAGCGGTGCTGGGAATTGTGAGTAAGAAGCTCTTTTGGCAGTCTAGGGAGGAAAAGTGAAGGTCTGCATGAGATAGGGGGCCTCTGAATGAGAGCCCCTTCAAGTGCAAGGTATCACTGAGTTGGAATCCTCAGGATGTAATCACTGACTGTGGGGAAGAGAAGAAGGAAAGATGACTCCGACATTACTACTTGAGTGACGTTACTACTACTGTGTGGCTAAGGAAACCTGTAACAAATGAGAAGCAGGTATGAAGAGAATAGCATGTGTTGGTTCTGGGTATTTTGAGTATGAAGTGTAGACAGGGATGTCCACTAGTTAGCTGAATATTCCAGTCTAGGTGTGGACATAATATGAGAGCAAATTACAAAAAATTGTGATTATTTCAATAAACATAAAGGTTGAAGTTTTAGGACTTCATAAAATTACTGAAGACATTTCAGAGAATTAAACAGTAAAGGGTTTCAGTCAGCATCTTCAAGAATCTGATAAATACATTTGCTCAGAGATGAAAAAAATAACATTTTGGGCTTAATGTGTGACTTGTTTCAGGAATATCTGTGTTTAATAGTATACAAAGACCCTTTTGGCTAAAATTTAAAATAAAAAATTTGAGAAGGGATGGTGGAGTTTGGGTAGCAGGCAGTCCCTTCTAACTGCCCTGATATCATGACACAGAAGTAGTTATGTGCTGGACTTCCTCATGTGGCTGAATTTACTTATTTGCCATCACAGATGGAAAGAGATTTGATATTTCATAAATAATCCTGCAATAATTCCTGAAAAGTTGTAAATCACTGACAGTGAGCTTGGAGTGTTATCTCTCTCAGGGACATTTGTATTTTAATAGGAGTCTCATAATGCTACAAAAACTTTAATCAAAGCAATTAATAACTAATGACATGATTTCAGACGTAATACAAGCTAATGAGTATTATTTCTGAATGGAAGTCACTATATATTTATATATGTATGCATATGTATAGAGAGAGAGTCCCTTGCTCAAGGTAATATTTTGGAAAACCTATATCAGTAAATAGATAGGAGTGGTTTCAGTAAACATATCAATCCTTTTTTAATTGAAAAAAAATAGAAATAGGGTGTCACTCTATTGCCCAGGTTGGAGTGCAATAGAGTGAGCAAAACTCACTGCAGCTTTGAACTCCTTGGCTCAAGCAATCCTCCCACCTCAGCCTCCTGAGTAGCTGGGACTACACACACACACACCACAACTCCTGGCTATTTTTTTATTTTTTGTAAAGATGGAGGTCTTGCTTGGTTTCCCAGGCTGGTCTCAAACTCCTGGCTTCCAGTGATCCTCCCGCTCCCAAAGTGCTGGTCCAAAGTGCTGGGATTACAGGTATGAGCCACCACACCTGGCCCATACCAATTATTTGTAAAGAGATGTCATTCTAACATCTAACAGATATAAGCTGTGTTTGTCTGTTTGTGTTGCTATGAAAGGATACCTGTGGCTGGGTAAACTTATGAAGAAGAGAGGTTTATTTGGCTCACAGTTCTGCAGGCTATACAAGAAGCATGGTGCCAACATCTGCTTCTGGTGAGGGCCTCAGGGAGCTTACAATCATGGTAGAAGGCAAAGGAGGAAACTGTATCACATAGAGAGAAAGGAAACGAGAGAGGGGAGGGGTGCCAGGCTCTTGTAAATAACTAGCTCTCACATGAATTCACAGACTGAGAACTCACTCTTTACCATGAGGATGGCACCAAGTCATTAGTGAGGAATCTGCCCCACTCCCAACATTGAGAGTCGCATTTCATCATAAGATTCAGAGGGGGCATATTCAAACCGTATCATAAGCCAAAGAAAACGAGATCCAAAAAACAGGCAGTCTGGAGAGAAACTGAAGCTACTCATAATCTGATTTCAAGACTCCTTTCCTTCTCTATTTGCCCCTTCTGTACATTGTTATAAAAAAGATAGGCTAAACATTTTATGAGGCTTAATATTCGTTCACGGGATATATTCGTGATGCTGCGATGTCATCACAATCAAGGAGCATTTATTAAGTGACTAATAGTTGCACCGGCACATAGAGAATTAATCCAACATGGTTTTCTTAGGAGCTGGAGGATTTGCAGATATTGGAGTATTTTCTTAAGCTTACTCTTCACCTTATTTTTTTAAATTATTAGTTATTAATTATTTTAATTTTTTTAGAGACAGGGTCTCACTCTGTCACCTGGGCTGGAATGTAACTGTGGGATCACAGCTCATTGTAACCTTAAACTCCTGGCCTCAAGTAATCCTACCCTCTTGGACTCCCAAAGAATTGGGATTACAGATGTGAGCCACTGCACCTGGCCCCTTCACTTTATACATATGGAATTTCTAAAAGTCTTTTCATCTTAGTGTATAGCTAGTCTATTTTGTTTTTAGCATTTTTAAAAGATTATGAAACCTCAAAGAAAAGTTTTGGTAATTGACGAGGGCAAGAATATATTCCAATTAAGTAAAAATGTGAGCTATATAAGAAAGTATAGAGATTTAAGTGTGGCCCTAATTATATGAATTAAATATAATTAAATTTATTTTAGGTAGTGTGCTTTTTCTTGACTAAAATAATTATTACTGGGTTTAAGTGAAATATGTGTACTTGTCACAAGCATTGATTTTCCTAGGTCAGACATTTTACAATAGAGAACTAGAATAAGTAAGCCAGTATTATGAAGGCATAAATTCCTAATTAGGATGAAAATATAAGGGACACAGCATTTGCTCATCATTCTTCCTGTTTGTAGGCATTAGCCTTGACTTGGTTTAGAGTTTTTTGATATAACATCCATGTTTAGAATGCATGTAGAGTAAACCGACTGTATCAATAACTAGTGTCAGGAGAGGGGAACTAAGGAATCATGTTCTGGCAGAGAAATACCTGGAGACAAATTAATTTTTGAACATTTCATTTTATATTACTACTTTCTGTGTAGTATAGAATGTGTAGGCATATCAAAGTTCATAATAAAAGCTTATACCATCAGGAAGATGTATTTATTTTCAACAATGTAAAGGGAAAAGCACACAATTGGGGTGGGAAAGGGACAGAGAGAGAGAGAGAGAGAGAGAGAAAGAGAGAGAAAGACAACCTGCAGCAGACATCACCTGAGTGGGAAATTACACATCCTGCACACACAGGCAAGCTCTGCACACACATGCACAGAATTCATCTCTGACAATTTAATTGTTTAATGGTAGGACTAACAAGGAATCCTTTCTAAAGTAATGGCATACAAAGGCTTCCTAGTGAAGTTAATATTCCTGCTGCATTTGATGGGTGTTTCCCATTTGTGCAGTTCTGCCCTACCAGACTCCTTGTGTTTGATGGTGGGGAGACAGGAGGGGCGGTAGTGTCTGTATTCAACAGCAGAATCTGGAGAATGCCTTAGCCTGTGACCTTAGCCATTAAAGCGATAAATCTGAGGCCACGATTGGCACCAGAGCAATTCCTCACATCGGTTGTAATGTCTTGGCTTGCACTCCTAGGATCTGGACTTCCTGAACTGCAGAATATTCTGAGTACAAAGTCCTTGCTTGCCTCACTGTCTGTTTTCTCTTAGTTCACTAGAATCGAGGTTTGGCAGCCATTTGTGCTGAGGCTGCTGCAGGACCTCAGTTTGACCAGCCTTCTAGATAATGGTATGCATGATGCCTCTGATGCTATGGTTTACACTTTCATCCTGAGCTAAAGTCTCTTATCATATTTCCTTATGGTTCACCTTGCTTACATCTGCATTTTAATTGAATCAAATAACTAAGAATAACTGTCTCAAGAACCATAAAGTTCTCAGAGCAAAGCCTAACGTGTTCTCATTTTGTAGTTTCCACTCTCAAATCAATACATTTTACATTTTTAACTCAGGTTACCAGGCTTTGAGGGGAAAAGTTTCATTGCCTCCATCAGAGAAACCCAGTGGATGAGCTTTGACCACAGCAGAAAGTTGCTTTGCTCAGGAGTACGGTTTTCTTTGGGTTGTGGATTTACTCCTGCCATGCTGTGTTGGCTCAGCTCGTGGAAGCGTGATCTGTGTCTTTCAGTCTAGGAAAAGGCTTAGTAGGCAGAGTGGAAAATGACAGACTATTTTTAACACAGCTTTCTATCCCACAGTTCTGGGTCTTACTTCTATTATCATTACTTATTCATAGACTTTCATTCCCAAATATCATTACCCTTTACAGTAATAGGATCAGCAAAGCAACCACTTAAAACAAAACAAACAAACGCAGGAATCCAAGTCCTGTACACAGAAACATTTTCTCCACTCTTGCCAGCTCGCTGCCTCTCCCTGACTACCTGGGGGAGAAGTGGTTCTTATCAGTCACTAAGAAACTCAGCTGCTTGACAAATGCCAGTGTAACAAAAGGGCTTGGCAGTGGGGAATGGTTTGAAGGCATCAGCCACTAAGAGAACAGGGAGGAGGTAATGAAATCCGAGACCAAACAAGGAAGAAAGTAGGGAGTGGAGGAAGCTGGGAAGCAGGAAGAAAACTAAGGAGAAAGATCCACAGTGTGTACTCCTTCAGCAGAAAGCCCTCCTAAAACACACTCCATTTAATTTACAGTGCCATGTAACTATTATGATACCATGTAATATAATGATTACAGGGTCATATAATTATTCCCTGTTTAATAACAATAGCTACAATGTATTGAGGACCTACTATGTGCCAGATGCTTTTGATATGTTATTTGACTTGCACAACTTTTAATAATGGGTACGATTATCCCCATTTTATAGCTAAGGAGACTGAGGCTTAGAAAGGCCTTAGTGACTTATCTAAAGTGGCATGCCTTCATTCAGTGGACCTGGAATGTAAATTTAGACATTATGAATCCAAAAACTGTGTTTATAACCGCACTGTTTTTCGTACTGATTCCCACTGTGTTATACTGCCTTTTTTTCAATTATTTGTATCTTCACTCATACACCACCTTGTTTCAGAAATGATTTAAGATGGTATAAGTGCCTTGGAGTTACACATATATCTAAGCAGCTTGCATATGGTTCCAACACTCTACATTGCATATTTATTGATTGATTGAGCCAGAGAACCTCATTTGTCAAGAGTTCAGAATTCTTTCACTGTGGAGTCCCTTTCCCTTTCTATATTTATTATTATTATTTTGAGACAGAGTCTCACTGTCACCCAGGCTGGAGTGCAGTGGCTCAATCACAGCTCATCGCAGACTTGACCTCCTGGGCTCAGGTCATCCTCCCGCTTCAGTCTCCTGAGTATCTAGGACCACAGTTACACTCCACCTCACCCGGCCAATTTTTGTATTTTTTGTAGAGACGGGGTTTCACTATGTTGCCCACACTGGTCTCAAACTCCTGGGCTCGAGTGATCTGCCTGCCTCAGCCTCCCAAAGTGTTAAGATTACAGGCATGAGCTACCATGCCCAGCCACTTTCTATCTTTAAAAATAGGCCTACCACAAACTCATCTGTGCAGGGTGGCTTGAATACAGGGACAAGAGACTGGACCAACTAATCTGTCAAAATCTCTTCTAGACCTATGATTCTGTAAAGGACGAGGTTATCATGTGTAGTGAGAATTATTTTCTCTTTAATAGTTAATTACATAAATGTAAAAAGTGAATTTGCAGGGGGTCCAGACAAACACTACCTTAGTCACTTGATCATCAACAGTGATAACTTAAGGTCATCATCCACACTCAAGTTGATAGCTTGTATCCTTGATATGAGGTCTTGAAAATAGAAACTTACTTCTGCGATAGTCCTCCCCAAAACCCATAACTTCAGTCTAATCATGACAAAAACGTCACACAAATCCCAATTGAGAGACATTCTACAAAATACCTGACCAGTCCTCCTTCAAACAGTCAAGGTCAAAAAAAACAAGGAAAATCTGAGAAATTGTCACAGTCAAGACAAGTCTAAGAGTCTAAGGAGGCAGGACGACAGCAATGTAGCATCCCTGGGACAGAAAAAAAGACATTCGGCGAAAACTAAAAAATCTGGATAAAGTAAGGACTTTAATCATAATGTATAAATATTAGTTCATTAAGTGTAACAAATGTACCATACTAATGTAAGATAATAATAATAAGGAAAATTGAGTGTAGGGGGTAAGAGAACCCTCTGTATTATCTTCTCAATTTTTCTGTCAACTTAAAACTGTTCTAAAAACATAAAGTCTATAAAAATATTTTGGCACACACACACAAAAGGGAATGGGCCAAGATTACTGAGAGAACCAGGGGAATGGCAAGATGTAAGATATATGTTCCTGTCTTGAAACCCAATCCAATCAAGAGGAATAGCTTTTTCTCGAATTAATGCAATTTTGTTTCCCATTGATCTCTGGATTTTTGATGACTGGCTTTCGAATATCAGAAGATAGGACCAAGTTGCTGAGGAAGTGTCCACTCAGTTCCTGGTTCCCAGAAGGTAATTGTTGAATGAATGAATGTCATTGCAATATAACTTATAGAGCTTTCCTGGCTCTGGGATGCATATAACTCAGATTGGGTTTTAGACCTTTCGATGACAGCACCCCTCTGCCCCTGCACCTGGTTTAATGTCGAGCTACTCCAAGGTCTTAGTCTCATTCATAAGAACCCAACAACTG